>NC_000004.12:149527441-149830471 GCF_000001405.40 Homo sapiens
TGCCATGTGAGGATGCAGCAAGAAGGCTGCCATCTGCAAGTCAGGAAGAGAGTCCTCACCAGACACTGAATTTGGCAGCCCCTTGATCTTGAACTTCCCAGTTTCCAGAACTGTGAGAAATATATATTTATTGTTTAAGCCACCCACGCTATAGTATTTTGTTAAAGCAGCCTGAGCGGAGTAAGATACCTGTTGAATTTCAGTATGTATTATTCTAATTTACACAGGAGTTAATAAGGTTCCAAAAGAGAAACTTGCCCAAGATTATACAGCTAGTTTGTGGTGGAACCAAAATTAAAATAAGTTATATTTCACTCAAGTCTTTTTGCTTCTCCCATGCCATGCTGTGTTAAAGTAAACACAGCCATGCAGCAATATGAAGAAAAAAGTGATTTTCTGAGACAATGTTCAAAGAATAATGCCACTTTCCTTTCCCTGACATCAGCAATCGACTCAAGAACAGTATTTCTTCCTAGTCATCTTGTACATAATAGGTACTTAATGATGCTGCTTGGATATCTTCATGAGAGATTTATCTTGTTTTTTGTTTTTTTTTTTTTTTGAGACTGAGTTTTGCTCTATCGCCCAGGCTGGAGTGCAGTGGCATGATCTTTGCTCACTGCAACCTCCACCTCCTGCGTTCAAGTGATTCTCGTGCCGCAGCCTCCTGAGTAGCTGGGATTACAGGCACCTGGCCCCACACCTGGCTAATTTTTGTATTTTTATTAGAGATGGGGTTTCACCACGTTGGCCATGCTGGTCTTGAACTACTGACCTCAGACGATCCACCCACCTTGGCCTCCCAAAGTGCTGGGATTACAGGCGTGAGCCACCACACCCAGCCTATCTTGATTTTTAAATAGAATACTCAGTTGTCTCAACTGAGGCACCATGTAGAACCCAAAAAGCTTCACAGCTTAACATTTTGTCAATCATCACTTATCAATTCTTTGAGTTAAGGCATTAAAATATTTTATAAAATTACATATCTGCTACATGGCAAGGATAGTATTATGCACCCATGACTATCTCATCAGATATTACTACATAACATAGGTAATCTCAAATTCTGAAAAGATGAGGTAAAATGTAATCATCCAATTGCCTTGGAGAGCTCTGAAGAAGTGGCTCATGGGAGAATCAAATGTTTGAAGTAGGAGAGTAAATTAGGAAAGAATAAGCCTGAGGAATTGAGGTAACAGAACATGGCAATGAGGATTCTGGGTACAGAAAATGAGTATAAAAGTGTGAACATTGATGGAGGACTCCCCAAGACAAATTTCTCACATGCCACAGTTTGTCTCAGGCTAGTTTAAATGCTCAGTAGATGGTACTTCTGACCATCAGTTAACTTGACAGACAGTGTACCTTGCACTATAGAAGCTCTCTGAGGTATGAATGGCATTCTGCTTGAGATGAAGCTTACAGGAGCAAAAGGAAGAATTTTTTTTGCATAAGAAGTAAAAGTATTTTTATTCTGCTGCACTAAAGGGTCTTCATTAAATAATATACTCCTTTAATAAGTGAAAAAGTAGCAATAAAGCAAAAGTAAAGGAATTGAGCACAGAGACATAATATTTAATGAGCAAAGTTTATTATGAAAAGCAAATATTACTGGGTAGGAAAATATATATATATATGAGACAGAGTCTCACTCCATCACTCAGGCTGGAGAGCAGTAGCACAATCTCAGCTCACTGCAACCTCAGCCTCCTGGGTTCAAGCAATTCTCCCGCTTCGGCCTCCCAAGTAGCTGGGATTACAAGCACACACCACAACAGCCAGCTAATTTTTGTATTTTTAGTAGAGATGGGATTTCAGCCATTTTGGCCAGGCTGATCTCAAACTCCTGACCTCAAGTGATCTGCGGGCCTTGGCCTCCCAAAGTGCTGGGATTACAGGCGTGAGCCACCACACCCAACCAGAAGAATACGTTTTAAAAGGAAGGTTTTTGTCATTCCAAATATTCTGGTTTTGAGTTATTATATTTTACTTCCCTTGGGTTGGCGACATATTTTTCTCATAAAACCATAAAGGTCTCATCCCATTTCAGGCTTTCATTGGCATTGACCAACAGTGTTTTCCTACAGGCCATATGCTAGGCTACAGGGATTTTGCCAAATCTTTGAATAAAGATTTGCACTATTACCAAAAGTCTACAACTCTACAGAGAATATCTCTAACATAGTCCAGTTTTCAGTTGCAAGGATTCCAAAGGTTATAAAATGCTCCTCTTGAGAGGTTCCTGAATCCATCATTCTCATCATACCCTGTAAACCCACTTAACTGAGCTTTCCCACTCTCTTACAGGTCCAGTGGCAATAGCTTCCCAGCCAATTCTTCATGCTTCCTCTTTTGGGCCCCACAGCCCATTCACATGAAAGTCATGCCACTCTTTCATAATATAAGTCATATGAAGTCTCCATCATATTTACAATAAAATCCAAAGTATTTAATGTTGCCTTCAAGATACTCTATGACCTAGTTCTTGGCGACTGCTCCACTGTTGTTTCCTTTCACCACCTGCCTTGATCCATCTGTTCCAGCTACACTGGCTTTCTTGCTGTCTCTCATTATCCACTCCTGCCTTAGGACTTGATCCTTCCCACAGTCATCAGCATGGTTCCCTCCCTCACTTCCTTATGGTCCCTGCTCAAACACCATGGTATTCCAAACAATTATTCTGATCACCCCAAAGAAAAATGTCCCCATCTTGCTCTCTATCTTCTTACCTTGCTTTAGTTTTCTTCATAGAACTTATCACTGATTTGACATATAAATATATATGTGTGTATGTGTATATATACACATAAAATATATAAAATTTATATGTATACATATATATAATTCCCTCTCCAGTACAATGTAAGCTTCAGGAGGGCAGGAAATTTGCTTTATTCATACTGTACCCATGGAACCTTGAAGAACATACAACATATAAGATGCTCAATAAATATTTGTTGAATTAGTGAATGGGAGAGAAAACTCTATGTATCTATGGGAACAACCAGGAAAGCAATCTCTGTGTATCCAAGAGAGGATACAGAATTGACACATAGACTAAGTTACTGGAACATAAAAGTAGTTTTGAAATATATTAGTCCTGAGACAGTATCATGGCAAAGGGACTGGAAATAGATTAAATCCCAAATTCTTAATTAAATCTATTTAGTTTCTCTTCATGTTGTACTTTACCACTGATAGTTACCACTAGGGGCCTGATTCAGATAAGACAGTCACAGAGATTTTATTTCTAGGTAGAAAGAACAAAGAAAAGGCTAACACCTTATCCAATGAAGATATATCTAGCTATCATGTTACCTACACCTGCATACTCAGACACAGACACCCCCACCCCCCCACCCCCCCCCCACATACACACACTAATTGCGTTCAGTTAACATCATAGCCTATTTTAAACCATAAAATCTCCAGGTAGAGAAATAGAGAGGCACAGATTCCTAAAAATGTATGGGCTACTTTGTTTTATGTTCTATATGCACAATTATCACATTTATTTTCTGAGGAGTGGTGGGCTAACAAAAACTGGAACTTATTTGCAAGGATGTTTTGGAAATACTTTTAAGAAAAACTTCCATACTTCATGTATATATTCAATATAATTAGACAATACTGGGATTCATGTGAAAAAGTTTTACTCAGGAGCAGAAATGATAGAGTAAGTTATAACTGTGTCTACATGATAAATTTACTATATTGATTGTATGATAAGATTCTATGAAGAACTATTTGATTCATTCTCTTTGTTATATGCGTAAACTCATCCCTTAAAAAGTGACATGAGTTTTACCTCTTAAGCATCTGTATGGTACGCCAGTTCTGAGTAAACTCCTTTCTAATTCCTTTCAAATGGCAAGAAATTATGGTAACAAGATAAACATTTGAGAAGATATTTTTCTCTATTTTTGTAAACTCTGTATGTTTCAACCTAAAAAAGTTCAAAACTACTGTAACCCTCACTCATTGTTTGCTTCCTTCTTTCCTCCCTGCATTCTTTCCCTCCTTATTCCCTCTCTTTTTCCAACTGCAACTTCCTTCTCTTTCTCCTTCCCTTCTTTCCTTCAACAAATATTTATCAAGCTTTTTTAAAATGTGTGAATCCTGAGCATACAAAAAGGCATAAGATAATGACCAGGTGCTTATAGTCTAGTATGTAAAAGAGGAAAAAGCATAATTTCAATGCATTTATCACCAGCAACTGTTATAAATATGTAGAAATTTCTTGGATGTAAACTGGCAGCCATCAGTTTTTAAAATTAGTTATATGTAGCACTAGCACAACTGAGCCCCTCAGAGGAGACTGCATACTAGTTACCATTCTGTTTTACTTTTATTTTAACAATTAGAATAATGATCTTTTTAATATTTAAACATTTTCTGTGATTAAACTGTCCATTTCTCCTGACTCATAACAGACACTGGCCTGGTACTGTTTGTTAACTTTCTTATGAACATATTGTTTATAGTAGGTGTCTTATTAATGTAAGTGGTCATTGAAGGCTCATTCTTGGCCACATAAGAGGGTAGCTTTGCCTGACACGAGGGCCAGCTCCACTATCACCTCATGTATCTGAATCCTAATCTTATTTAATCCCCTCCCAGCTTTCACTTTTGTTGGGTGACTCATGCTTGGCCGGCTCTGCAAGTGTGTCCTAAGTTCACAACATCATAGCAGAAAATAATGCAAGTGTTCCTGTATAGATACAGTCTCGGTATACATGAAAGTTGTTTTCACCTTAGAAAGCTCAAAAACAATATACAAACTAATAAATATAAGAGCAGCAATATGTCTTTTACCTAGTATACAAAGGCAATGCTGGTATGATGCCAGGGTCCATTAGGGATTCTCAGTGCCTACCAGGAGACACATTGGCAAGAGACCTACAAGAGATTCCATGTTTGAAATAATATTTCCCAAGAATCACACAGAATACTCATGAATAAGAAAGTATTACCTGGGAAATACTACAGGATCTCCACAAGCTTTCCTGAAAAAGAGTTTTGGAAAGTTCTGAGAGGAGCATGCTTTTTCTGAAGGATAATTATCTTTTTTTTTTTTTTTTTGTCCCAAGACAAGAAAAAAAAAGAGACTGAATCATTTCTTTTTATCACTAGAGGACTATGTGGGGGCATATACTACCTCTTTACAATTTTTTCCTACACTACTAATTTTAAAGGAAAGTATGAAAGATTTTCCTTTCATGTTTCTTAGCTTAGTATGGGCATGTGGCCTTCAATCTGCTGTGGCTGGTGACACCATCTCTTCCCTCCTTTCTACAAACAAGGTTCTATTTTATGAACTGGGTATTAGCAGTGAACATGCAAGGTATGGCCCCTGCCACACTGGAAATCAACAGGCTAGTAGAGGGAGATGGACCATAAACAAATACAGAGAAACATGTGTAATATAATCTCAAGTAGTAATAAGTGGAATGAAAGAAAATAAATATTAAGGTAATGAAGCAAAGATGGAGGGCAGAGGTCAGTGGGAAGACAGCAGGCTATTTTAGAGAGAAAAGTCAGGAAGGGGCTTTATGAGTAACTGATATTGAAGCTGAGACATGAGTCAAACTCTTACAAAGGGAGCCATGAGGGAAGAAAATTTTAAATAGAAGAAACAGCAAATGCAAGTAATTTAGTGTATTTAAAAAGTCAAGTTATCAGCCTAATTATAGTACAGTGAGCAAAAATGAGAGGAATAGGAGCTGAAGTCAGAAAGGTAGAAAATGTGTCATTTGTTAATGTTTATTCTACATGTGATAGGAAGGATTGAGAGAATTTTTATATTTTCATTTTGAAGTATTTCTGACATATAAAAAAGAAATAAAGAAATAAATAAGCATCTCTGTATCTAGCGCCTGACTTAAGAAAACATATAAGAGAACTGAATCTCCTTCATTTCCCAACAGCAACAGACAACTAAGGTTCTTAGAAATAAGTATAAAAAGGGATCCATAAGTTCTTTATAGAGAATTTTTAAAAGGCCTTTAAAAAATACAAAAGAAAACTTAAGTAAGTAGATAGCCTATTTGTATTGGACTGTTCTCACGCTGCTGACAAAGACATACCCGAGACTGGGTACATAAAGAAATAGAAGCTTAATGGACTCACAATTCCACATGGACAGGGAAGCCTCACAGTCATGGCAGAAGGCAAAGGAGGAGCAAAGGCACATCTTACATGGCAGCAGGCAAAGAGAAGTCCAGAATGAAGGTGAGGGAAAGCCCCTTATACAGTCATAAGCTCTCATGAGAACTCACTATCATGAGAACAGCATGGAGGTAAATGCCCCCATGATTCAATTACCTCCCACTGAATCCCTCCCATCACATGTGGGGATTATGGGAATTACAGTTGAAGATGAGATTTGGGTGGGGACACAGCCAAACCACAACACTATTGTTAAATAGCAAGATTTAATAGAAAAAAAGAAATCCATTCTCTACAAACTATCTTAATATGAACTGCACTTTTCATGGAACTAGAGAGACTAATTCTCACATTTATATACAATGAAAAAGTCCAAGAATGATAATATATCTGGCAGGGAAATTCTACTGCTTTATTTGTCTTTAGAATTTTAGACAGTGACAGTGATGTTATATTGATTATCCTTTAATCCATTCAAATCTATTTCTTACTTTAAAAATCTAGGTACCTTAACTTTCTTAGAATCAACTTATTTGGCACTCACTTTACAATTTATTTAAACACATAAATAGGTTATGAGACCTTGGTTAAGAGCCACTAAATATTGGTTTAATGTTAAATGTAAATCTTAATGCTAGAAAATGCACACTATAAATTGTAGGTGTACATTCAATTTTGTGCCTTTTTTGATTAGTATTATGAATTAAACTCCACAAGAAAGAGAAAGAGATTGTTCTGATATCTGCCTTTATTATAGGAAGTTGTTAATGCCGATAGGCATTACTATTGATGCACATGCTATGCAAATACGCTTGTATGGGTGTATCTGTGTTTACTTCAAAAGATGACAAGTGCATATGAAGAAGTATATGAAAATCATGTCCTCTATATCCAAACCACTGAACAACATCAGCCAAAAGGATGTTTGGACCCTCATCATGCTAAAATTATATACACAGTGGTATATAAGGAATCATTGACGAGAATATTTTGAAAGAATAAAAACTCAACAGTTTTATGGTAGGAACATGAGATATTTATATTAATCCCTGAAAAACTATGCCAAAAAATTTACTCCATAAACATCTCCTTTTATAAGTCAGCATGGTTTATAAAAGATATAACTACACCGCTGTATTCCATGTTGATTTCAATATGAAAACTGAATTTTAAATTTTGGAAATCAAAATACCAAAATGAAACTCTTATGGACCAATCATGGCTCTAGAGGTAACCTTTTTAAAAAAAGGAAGCTTTTAGCATAAACAATTGGCTTACGTTCTGCCAAACTGGCAGCTCCTAGTAAGAGGCTTGCTTTTACAAATCTGAATCATAAGCTTTCAATTCAATACCACTAATAATTTATATCGTGCATGACAGGCTTCACAGCATGGAAGCATCATGTTGCCTTATTGAGCAATGCATAATGTATAATAAAAGCTTGATTCAGAAAAGCTAGAAAAATGTTCATTACTAAATATGACTTAAACAAACTGAGTGAGAACTACAAAACATTATGACAGTAAAGGACTAAAAACTACCTTAAGTCCTTTGGAAGTTTTCACTTTACTGTAGCAATTTATAGGACTCTGCATCAAGATAAATGCCAGAAAAAATAAAAATATCCTTAATACTATGTTTACGATGTTGGAATAATTATATTAATTAAAAGTTTGCATATTTTAACAGCTTGTATTCAAGAATTTACGATACAGTATTTTATATTCATGTTCCTTTCATGTATCAGAGACTTGTATGGCTAAGTTTTTCTCATCAGGGAGTTTATATTCCTGGTATTATAGTAATTTAATCATATAAAACAAAGACTTGCTAGTGGCTCTCCGCATGTTACGAGTACTGGGTGTATAATCTTAATAAACAGAGATCTAACAAAAGGAACCAAAAGTCCTGCTCTCTAACAGACTTATGAAAGTAATTATACCTTTATTGAAGTTACACCATTCTAAAGCCCCCGCTGTTCCTGCTGTTTCTTAAAGATGGTTATTTTCTACTTAAAGAAAACAGACACACTTTAGAAGAATAACTCTTGTTAAGTAATATTACAGAATTTAATCAGATTCTCTATGCAGCTTACATAACAATGGCACAAATATATCAAACCAAATAATAAGAGTCAAAGGTTTAAAAAATACAGAATGGCAAATTAGAGTAACTTACTAATTGGAGTAACAACTCACATGACTGTAGGGTAAGACAGGAAAGTGGAGGGGAAGAAAAAGCCTTTCACTAGCCATGATGATTCCCAGAGGCTTTAATAGGCTTTACACAGCTATTGCTAGGGTGAAAGCAGGCATTAACAGAGTTAAATAATGTAAGATGAGACCATATGTCAAGAACCATCTTTAAAAAGTGCTAGGGAAGAGAGCAGGCAGAATTGTAGGAACAGCTGCCTAGATTAGGTAGCTAAAGCAAGGTGATGATAAGACAAATCTTTCAGGGTTGCTCTTTGCCCTTAGAGTTTGGTTTCTTGTTTATCCAAAGGTATTCAGCTCTAGGGAAAAGGGTTTAAAAAGCTTCTACTGACAATATTGATTTATTTCCAAAATCTAATTTGCATTGTATATTTGAAAACATCCATTTACAGTAGGCAGATGATAGGTAAATAACAAACTGAAAACAATAGAATCCCATGGGGAAAAGCAATCACAATTCACTAGACCTAAATAAATGATCAGACGTATTTTAGTCAGCAGTTTTAGTAGCATGGCTCCCTCTCCAGGTACCCACCCCACAGACACAGACTTTCCCCTATTCACTGTTACCAGCTATCCTGGAAATTCTAATCTGCTTTGCACATTATCTCTCTTCTATGTGTTAAACCTTTGCTTTTATTTTCTTATCTAGTTAACTCATCTTACAATGATTAACTCAAATCCTACCCTCTATCTAAGGAACATATAATTAATACTATATCATCTTAGCACTTGATACATGTGTGAATGTCTAAGCATTTGTAACATTGTATGCATGTAGTTATATGTTTGTATGTCTCTCCAGTTATTATGGAGAGTCTGAAATATTTGAACCACATTACTTTTCACAGCACATATTAAGTGTTCAAAATATATTATACTTGTTAATTATATTTACAAACAATTTCATCCAAAAAGACTCTGGATTGCTTCAACCAAGGAAGGTATCCATTAGTATGTTCTCATGAATTTCCTTTCACTTTTTGATTTATTCTTTAAATTATTAACCAGAAAATAGAATGTACTTTTATCTCTCAGATGGGTGAAAGCAATAAAGAATACCTACTAAATATCAGAAAAGTGGCAGCCTGCTACACAAAAGTTGTCGACACCACTGCCCAAAACCTTTACATAAGTAAATCCTGGAGCAGGCCATAATGGAAAAGGGAGAATCCATAGTTGTAACAACAAAGTATCTAAAATTTCCAGTGCTCAACAATAACAACAACAAAATGAGACATGCCAAGAAATGGAAAAGAGTGACCCATACTTATATGAAAAGGAGGTACTAAAAATTGACTCTGAATGAACTCAGAGGTTAGATTTAACAGACAAAGAACTCAAAGATACTATTATAAACATGTTCAAATAATTATTATACATTATATTTAAAGAATTAAAGAAAAATGTGATAATATTAAAATAGAGATTATAAAGATAAATAGAATCAATAAAATGAACTAAACGTATTCTAGAGTTGAAAAATACAGTAATGAAATAAGAAAAATTACAAAATGATCTCAGCCACAGATTTGAAAAGGCAGAAGAAAGAAATAGTGAATTTGAAGGCAGATTAATAGCTATTATCCAATTTGAACAACCAAAGAAAGAAAGATGTAAAAATAAACAGCACCAGAGACTTGTGGGAAAACTTTAAGTGTACTAACATAAGTATAATGAGAGTTAGCAAAGGAAAGGAGAGAGAAGGAAAAGTGAAGAAAAATATATTGGCTGAAAATTGCCAAATTTGATGAAAAACATTAATCTAAAAGTCCAAGAAGTTCAATGAACCCCAAGTATGATAAACAAACATGAAGTGATCACTTGTAAACAAACCATAGACAAAATGTTGAAAGACAAAGGCAAAGAGATACTCTTGAAAGAAGAAAGAGAAAATGCCTCATCATACACAAGATAACAAAAATAAGATTAATGACTGATTTCCCATCAGAATCAATGGTAGGCAGAAGGCAGTAGAAGGATATATTCAAAATGCTGACTGAAAAATAAAAAATTGGCAACCAAGAATTCTATATCCAGCAAAAATATTCAAGAATAAAGGTGATAAAGACATTTCCAGACATAAAGACATTAAATGAATACACTGCCAGAGACCTGCTGAAAGAAAAAGACACCAGATGGTAACTCATATCCAGAGAAATAATGAAGAGCAAAGGAAATCGTAAATGTATTTATATATATATGAATATATATATACATTTGCAATATACATTTGCAGATATCTTTTATACACTTATATATGTTAGTTTTATATATATAACAGTATAAAAGATATCTGCAAATGTCTTCTCTTAACTCCTTTCAAAAGTATATTATTACATAAAACATAATTATAAAACTATATTGCTAGGCTTATAAATTTCATATGTTATACATATGACAGTAACAACACAAAGGAGGAGGGATGACAGGAAGCTGTATTGAAGCAAAGTGACTACGTTTAACTGGAATTATTTTAGCATTTATCTAAAAATATTGGAATAAATTAAAATGTATATTGCAACACCTAGAGCAACCACTAAGAAAATAATTATTAAAATATACTTTAAAAATTCCTGGTATGATTATAATGGTACACTAAAAGTATACATACAAAATGCAAAAGAAGGAAGTAAAGGAGGAACACGGGGACAAAGGAGACGTGAATCATATACAAAATAAATAGTAAAATGACAGACATAAATGTAGCATATCAATTATTGTACCAAATATGAATGAACTAAAGACTCCAATCAAACAGACTACATTTTTAAAAGATCAAACTCTATGCTCTCTATAAGAAAACACTTTATATTCAAATTTGCAAATAGGCTGAAAGAAAATAAACTATAGACCAAAAAGTAAGAGCTAAGTCATTAAAATACTTGGAAAAATCATAGAAGAAAAACCTTTATCTTATTACAAGCAAAAACTTCTTAGATATAACACCACAAGCATACCCCAGAAAAGAAAAAAAGAAACTGATGAATTAGACTTCATAAAAATTAAAAACCTTTGCTTTTCAGGAATGCCATTAAGAAAATAAAAATATATTCCACAGCCTGGGGAAAAAAAATGCTTGCAAATTATATATCTGATAAAGAATTTGTACCCAGAATAGAAAGACGTTAATAATTTAATAATAAGAAAATAAAGCTCTTGATTGAAACAATATGCAAAAGTTCTGAATAGGCTTCTCTATAGAAGATAAATAAAAATGTCTAGTAAAAGATGCTCAGCATCATTCATTATTAGAGAAATGCAAATTAAAACCACAATGAGATCTTCATAGTAACATTATTCATAACAAAAAGGTGGAAACAACCCAAATGTCCATCAACTAATGAGTAGATAAACAAAATGTGGCATATTTATACAAAGAAATCTCATTCAGCAATAAGAAAGAATATAGTACTTAAAATATGTTACAACATGGATGAACTTCAAAAATATTGTTGAAAAAAGCCAGTCATAGTAGACTACATATTGCATGATTCTATTTATGAGAAATGACAAATCTATAGAGACAGAAGGCTGTCTAGTCGTTGTCTGGGGCTGGGGGTAAGAGTAGGGATTAGCTGCAAATGGGCACAAAATGATGTTTTGAGGTTATGAAAATCTTTAAATTTAATCTAACATGCTTATGGTTGTACACCAATGCACATTTACTAAAAATCATTTAACTGAATCCTTACAATGGGTGAATTTTTTAAGATGTAAATTATAACTCAATTGAGATGTTAAAAAATAAAAAGAGAATTGGCCAGGAGTGGTGGCTCATGCCTGTAATCCCAGTAGGCCAAGGCAGACAGATCGTCTGAGGTCAGGAGTTTGAGACCAGGCTGGCCAACATGGTGAAACCCCGTCTCTACTAAAAGAAATACAAAAATCTAGCTGGGCATTATTGTGGGCACCTGTAATCCTAGCTATTCGGGAGGCTGAGGAAGGAAAATCTCTTGAAACCAGGAGGTGGGGGTTGCAGTGAGCCAAGATGGCACCACTGCACTCCAGCCTGGGCAACAGAGCAAGACTTCATCTCAAAAAATAAAATAAAATAAAAAGAGAATCTTTATTGCATCCTGATTAAATTGACTAATAAGTGCCAATAAGTCCAATGGATATCCCAGGTGTTATAGACTGAATTGTGTCTCCTCCCAAAATTAACCTGTTAAGCAACTTTAACCTGTAATGCAACTTTATTTGGAGATATGACCTTTAAAGAAGGCATTAAAGTTAAATGAGGTCATAAGGGTAGGGCCCTACTTCAACACGACAGGAGTCCCTATAAAACTGAAGAGATACTGAGGTGAGCATGCCCAGAAGAAAGGCCATGTGAGGACACAGCAACAAAACAAGCCCAGAAAAGAGGCCTTAAGGGAAACCAAATCAGCCAACACCTTGATCTTAGACTCCTAATGTTTAGAACTACGAGACACTAAATTGTCATAGAACTACAAGACACTAAAGTGATCTAGTATGTGGGATTGCAATGAACTAACTACCAGGAAGTGCCAAAGTTGACAGCTAATATTGCAGATCATCTGAACCCCACAAGCTATGTCACTACCTAACAGACAATAGACTTCATATTGTATGATTCTATTTACAAGAAATTTTTGGAAATGGCAAATCTATAGAGACAAAAAGCAGATCAGTGGTTGGTTGGGGCTGATAGTAGCAATAGAGATTGACTGTCGTCCACTCTGATTTAACAAAAACCTCAGAAAAATAGAATGAAAAGTCAAATTGCCTGAAATTAAATCTTATGCATGAAGCCTGAAAATAAAAAGTAAGTCTTAAACAGTGAGCTTGTGAGCTGCGATTTGCACCAGCAACATATGTATAATGTGATCCTATTTTTATTCTATTAATGAAGAAGATAAATTGCCAAACACATTTAACCAAATGTTAATGGAGGAACTTATAAGATCCTTATAAGAACTGACTACCTATTCTGATCCCTAGTCAGGAGCCTCACGCCATTCTCAAACATAAAGTTGCCAGTGTTCTTCATTTCACCTTTTATTTTTAGGGTGTATTTTCAAAATGTGTTACAATAAGGATGTGTCAAATTTCAATTTTAGAAGTTATTTAAAATAAGGCTACTCTAACATGTTACCTCTGATACGTCTTCATTCTTTTGCCATCAGAATTTTTCAGTCTTAAATTTTTTCTAATCTAAAGTCCTCTATTTTTAAAATGTCCTTTTAAATCCCTTCCTAGATAATTAAACTTTACGATTAGAGTGCCTGTTCATGTGAAAAACTTTTAAGAGAAAATCACTATATGTTTCCCATCTAATAACAAAAAGCTATATATTGGTAAAGGAGCAGAAAATGCAGCATTGTTGGTTTGTGGTGGACAAAGCTGTGGTCTGAGGAACAGGAGGCTCAGGAAATAGTTACAGTTTGCCACTAACTAGTCAGAAAACCTAAAATGATTCATGTAATATCTCAGGTTATAATTTGTTCAGATGCATAGGATATTTCAGGTTAAACAGAATATAAGTACCTTTCATGTTTTTTAAGATTTTTGTCTAGGGCTCCTCACTAAAAATGAACTTATCATCGTTGTTGAGTTTTTTTGATTATCTTAATTGCAGAAAATGAACTAAAAGTTCTATTTACATGTTGGAAAAATAGGGGAAAACCTTCAAAGTTCACATTTCTAAAGACTAGACAGAAGTATAAGTAGATAATATACACCCACAATTTATTATTTTCTTTACTTTTTGATATGCTCTTCTCTTATTATTAGTTTCATTTACTGGAATTTAAATGAATATCAAGTAATGGTTTTCATGTTTGCATATTCTGCAGCTTTTAAGATCGGCCTACAAATGTAGCCTGAAGTTGCTTCATTCTCCCAAAGTAAGATTTTTAGACAAAAATCATGTCCTCAGTCACAAATTTTTTTGTTACCATAGTGATAAGAATAAAGAATGAAAAAAAAAGAGCTAAAAATAACTGAAGACAGTTTTAGAACTGTGACCCACTTGGTGTCGTACACTAAAGTAGTTAATCAATTGAATTAGTTACATATGCGCTCAGGTGAAATATTCTACTGGATGAAAAAATGCGTAGGTTGCACATCTGGAGCTATTATACACAATCAAAGAAGTCAGTATGAATGAAGATGATAGACAATCTAAAATGCATAAAATCAAATTCTTTTAAGAATAGAATATATACCAGAAGCAAATAGGAATCCATTAATTTAGCTCCTTTTTGTATCAATTTTCTGTTGTCTTTTCATTATTTTAGAATATCTCCTCCATTTTAAATTAAATCTTCTTATGCATCAAAAAGTGTTGTAGCTGGATGGAGCAATATAATTAGACATATATTTAAAATTACATTGGAGTGGCCCCTTTCTGTAAAGGAAAGTTTCCCAATCTTATGCATTATAATAAAAATATGCTTTTAAATTAACTTTTCTTTTGAAAATTTTAGTTTAAATAAGAATCTTAACAGACACAATCATTTACAGAAAAATCTAACATATTGCAAGGCATTAAGCTAGCCTGGGAAACATGAACAGGCAGCTCTTGCTATCAAGAATGTTTTAATCATCCATCTAATTATGTTTTTATAACACTGATTTTTAAAATGTCTGCACATAGTAGAATGGAAAAAGCATTCACCTTAACTTGAAGAGAGCAAAATTAAAGTTCCAGCTCTATCAATGAGCTTAGAAAAGTCTCTTTCTAAGCCTCAGTTCTCCCATCCATAAAATATGTATAAACGAGCATATCCCCTCCTCTAGCATATAGATCATTATGATAATCGAAAGGGATGATATGGGTAGAAACCAACTGATGACATTCAGTATAAAATCTCTGTTAAAATGAGTCATTATACAATTTTGTTTAATATTTAAACATTTTCAAAATGAAGATAATTATAGAAGTTTATTTTCATAATTAAGAATATGTAAGAATTATTTATGAATAATAGCAAACTTTTATTGTGCACTTACAATGGACCACATATTTTACATAATTATTTCATTTAAGCCTCATAACAGTCCAGTGACTTAGATATTATCTTCCTTTTACAGCTGAAAAAAGTGGGGTATAGAAGGAATAAATAACTTGTCCAAAGACAGCTAGAAAGTGGTAGAGCAGGGAATTAAGCCCAGGCAAGCTAACCCCAGAGCCATGCTCTAAATCTAAGCCATTATGATATACTCTAAAATAATGAGTAGAGAAAAATACCCCTATGAAACTGTTAATTTGAAAAAAAAATACATATTCTAAATTACTAACACTAGTCATATATGTTTTTTAACTACTTGATTAGTTATATTTGGCTGCATTTAATTTTTTAATTTTATTATTATAAGAAAAATGAAAACAACTTAAATGTATAACAATAAATACATTATAGAACATCCATATGGCAGATTACTACTCTGTCAAAAATAACACTGTAAAACTTATTTATAGCTTTGAAACTGATAAGTATTGTTAAAAACAATATATTCAAACTATATGTGGAAAATCTGGATTTTCATAAAATAATGTCATATTGACAGAAAAACTTAGATAAATAGTAAATGTTAACAATTGCCCCTTCCTGTGTCCATGTGTTCTCATTGTTCAATTCCCACCTATGAGTGAGAATATGCGGTGTTTGGTTTTTTGTTCTTGCGATAGTTTACTGAGAATGATGATTTCCGATTTCATCCATGTCCCTACAAAGGACATGAACTCATCATTTTTTATGGCTGCATAGTATTCCATGGTGTATATGTGTGGGGTGGGGGGAGGGGAGAGGGATAGCATTGGGAGATATACCTAATGCTAGATGACAAGTTAGTGGGTGCAGCGCACCAGCATGGCACATGTATACATATGTAACTAACCTGCACATTGTGCACAGGTACCCTAAAACTTAAAGTATAATAATAATAGAAATAAAAAAAGTGAAAAAAAAACAATTGCTATTTCTTCAAAATTTTATGTATTTCTATATTTTCCAAATTTTCTATAATAAAACATTAAATACTTTTGTCATTAAAAGTCACTTAAACAACCTAAACTGAAGCACAAAGTGATGTAGATGCTTCTACAAATAGGTGAACAAATATTTATCAAAGTCTAAAAAATTGTTCCAGGTACTAGGATATAGCAGTGGCAAAACAAAGTCCATAGGTAAAGAATTGTTTAAATTTGCACTAAGAATGAAAGAAGAGAACTCCAAACATACAATGAAGCATCCATCTTTACATTCTGATTTACTCACACCTTTGTACTAGTATGTGAGCCCTTTCTTTAGATTAAAAAAAAGATCCTGAAATGTTTGTTTCACTTCCTTACCATCTCTTCTCAATTACTTTGTGGTGACATTATCTCTAAACACAGTAGAAAGCCAGAGCATGAGTATATAAATAGAAAGAAAAGCTAACAAACAAAAATCAGTTGCATTTCTCTACATTAACAAAAAATTATCTGAAAAAGAAATTAAGAAAACAATCCCCCTTGCAATCGCATCAAAGAAAATACAATATTTAGTAATAAATTTAACCCAAGAGGTTAAAGATCTGTACCCTGAAAACCATAAGACACTGATGAAATAAATTGAAGACACAAATAATTGAAAAGGTATATTGTGTTCATGAATTAGACTTTATATTGTTAATATGCCTATACTACCAAAATGATCTATTGATTCAATGCAATCCCTATCAAAATTCCGATGGCATTTTATAAAAACCAAACCTAAATTACATGAAACTATAAAAGTTCCTGAAAAGCTAAATAAACCTTGAGAAAGAAAAACAAAGCTAGTGGCAACACATTTCCTGATTTCAACCTATATTAAAAAGCTATTGTATTCAAAACAGTATGATACAGGCATAAAAACGGACAAATAGACCAATGGAATAGAATAGAGAGCCAAGAAATAAACCCATGCATTTATATGCAACTAATTTGTGGCAAGGGTGACAAGAATACGCAATAGGGAAAGGATAGTTTTTACAATAAATGGTGTTGGGCAAACTTGATGACCACATGCAAAAGAATAAAATCGGACGTTTATTTAACACCATATTTAAAAATTAACTTGACATGGATTAAAGACTTAAATGTAAAGTCTGAAGCCACAAAACTTCTAGAAGAAAACAGGGGAAAAACACTGTGAAGGCAATCTTGGCTATGGTTTTTTTTAGTATGACCCCAAAAGCACAGGTGACAGAAGCAAAAACAAACAAACAAACAAAAAACAGTTGGGCACAGTGGCATGTGCCTGTAGTCCCAGCCACTTGGGAGGTTGAAGCAGGAGGATCACTTGAGACCAGGAGTCCAAAACTAGCCTAAGCAACTTAGATCCCAGTTTCTATCATAAAAAAATAAAAATAATTTTTAAAAAACGAGCGGGACTACCTCAAACTAAAATGCTTATGCACAACAGAGGAAACACAATCAACAAAATGAAAAGAGAACCTGTAGAATGGGAGAAAATATTTGCAAACCATATGTCTGATAAAGGATTAATATCCAAAATAAATGATAAAGATACAACTTAATAGCAAAAATCCCAAAATAACTCAATTCAAAAATGGCCAACAAACCTCAATAAACATTTTTCCAAAGAAAATATGCAAGGGGCCAACAGGTAGATGATCATCAGGGAAATGCAAGTCAAAACAACAGTGAGCTATTACCTCACACCTAGTATGATAGCTATTATTAAAAAGACAAGAGATAGCAGGTATTGGTGAAGAGGTGGAGAAAATGGAATCTTTGTACATTGTTGGTAGAATATAGATTGGTACACCCATTATGTAAAATATTATGGAATTTCCTTAAACAATTAAAAATAGAACTACCATAAGATCCAACAATCCTACTACTGGGTATATATCCAAATAAATGAAATCAGTTTGTTAAAGAGATAGCTGTACCTATATTGCAGCATATTCACAATAGCCAAGATAAGAAAGCAACCTAAGTGCCTGTCAACAAATGAATGGAAAAAAAAAGTGGTATTTTTTTTTTATTATTATACTTTAAGTTCTAGGGTACATGTGCACAACGTGAAGGTTTGTCACATATGTATACATACGCCATGTTGGTGTGCTGCACCCGTTAACTCGTCCTTTACATTAGGTATATCTCCTAATGCTATTCCTCCCCACTCCCCCGACCCCACGACAGGCCCCAGTGTGTGATGTTCCCCACCCTGTGTCCAAGTGTTCTCATTGTTCAATTCCCACCTATGAGTGAGAACATGCGGTGTTTGGTTTTTTGTCCTTGTGATAGTTTGCTAAGAATGATGGTTTCCAGCTTCAACCATGTCCCTACAAAGGACATGAACTCATCTTTTTTATGGCTGCATAGTATTCCATGGTGTATATGTGCCACATTTTCTTAATCCAGTCTATCATTGATGGACACTTGGGTTGCTTCCAAGTCTTTGCTATTGTGAATAGTGCCACAATAAACATACATGTGCATGTGTCTTTATAGCAGCATGATTTATAATCCTTTGGGTATATATACCCAGTAATGGGATGGCTGGGTCAAATGGTATTTCTAGTTCTAGATCCCTGAGGAATCGCCACACTGTCTTCCACAATGGTTGAACTAGTTTACAGTCCCACCAACAGTGTAAAAGTGTTACTATTTCTCCACATCCTCTCCAGCACCTGCTGTTTCCTGACATTTTAATGATTGCCATTCTAACTGGTGTCAGATGGTATCTCATTGTGGTTTTGATATGCATTTCTCTGATGGCCAGTGATGACAAACATTTTTTCAAGTGTCTTTTGGCTGCAGAAATGTCTTCTTTTGAGAAGTGTCTGCTCATATCCTTTGCCCACTTTTTGATGGGGTTGTTTGTTTTTTTCTTGTAAGTTTGTTGGAGTTCTTTGTAGATTCTGGATATTAGCCCTTTGTCAGAGGAGTAAATTGCAAAAATTTTCTCCCATTCTGTAGGTTGTCTGTTCACTCTGATGGTAGTTTCTTTTGCTGTGCAGAAGCTCTTTAGTTTAATTAGATCCCATTTGTCAATTTTGGCTTTTGTTGCCATTGCTTTTGGTGTTTTAGACATGAAGTCCTTGCCCATGCCTATGTCCTGAATGGTATTGCCTAGGTTTTCTTCTAGTGTTTTTATGGTTTTAGGTCTAACATTTAAGTCTTTAATCCATCTTGAATTAATTTTTGTATAAGGTGTAAGGAAGGGATCCAGTTTCAGCTTTCTACATATGGCTAGCCAGTTTACCCAGCACCATTTATTAAATAGGGAATCCTTTCCCCATTTCTTGTTTTTGTCAGGTTTGTCAAAGATCAGATGGTTGTAGATGTGTGGTATTATTTCTGAGGGCTCTGTTCTGTTCCATTGGTCTATATCTCTGTTTTGGTACCAGTACCATGCTGTTTTGGTTACTGTAGCCTTGTAGCATAGTTTGAAGTCAGGTAGCATGATGCCTCCAGCTTTGTTAAAAAGTGGTATTATACACAATGGACTGGTATTCAGTCTTTAAAAATAAGGCAATTTTGTCATTTGTCACAATAAAGATGAACTTGGAAGACATTATGTTAAGTTAAATAAGCCAGATATGGAAACACAAATACTGTGTAGTCTCACTTATATGGGAAATCTATAAAAGTTGATATAAAAGCATAGAGTTGGATGGCAGTTGCCAGGGCTGAGGGTTGGAGGCAATTAAGGAGATGTTGGTCAAAACATACAAACTTTTTGTCTTTCAGTTTGAAAGACAAATAAGTTCTGGGGATCTAATGTACAGCATGGTGACTGTCGTTAATACTGTATTGATTACCTGAAATTAGCTAGGAGAAGAGTTCTTATGTGTCCTCACCACACACTCACACTTACATACACAAACAGTGACTATGAATGGTGATGGATATATTGATTAATTTGATTGTAGTAGTCATTACACAATGCATATGTATCCCAAATCATCATATTACATCTTTAATATAAACCATTTTAATTTGTCAATTATACTTTGACAAAGCTGGGGAAAAAAGAAAGAAAAGCTGAAAAGAATCTTAAAATATTAAAGGAAAATTCATTGAGATGTTTTCATACTTTTGTGACAATTTACATCCCCTTATTAGTCTTTAGAGAGAAATCTTGCTCAATTTAAATTATTAAATATTCTCATAAACAATATTTTTCATGTATTATTCAGAAAAGAAATGATTTTCTGTGAAAGTCTATTATATTGAAATAGCTTACAATGTTTATACATTTTAACTTGACCGTGTTCTCCAATACCAAATCTAACTATCCAGGAGAAAGCCTCCTAGCATCAGTATTTAAAATATGATAGTTTAAAATATACTCAGCTTGATGTAACTTATTTTATATCCAAAAATACTTAAAAACTATAAAAATGAAAACCACCTCTTCCATCTTCCTCCAAAAAAACCTGTATTGTATTAACTTCTTTTAACCTACTTTTCAAATATTTTCCTTCACAAATATTAAGATCAGATGCAAAGAAATTTGAGGGAAAGCACTTACACAAAAAGTTTAGTAAAAGTAAGGGAAGGAATGAAGAAAGGAAGAGAACAACTAAGGAAAGTTGGGAAAGAGAAAAGAAAGAAGTTGAAAGGAAAAGAAGGGGGGAAAAAGAAATGAGAAACTACTCACCTTGATGGACCAGGTCCCAAGTATCATCAACTTGTTTCTGAGTTGGGAAATGACCACAGTCACTGAAGAAATTGGGGAGCTCATTTCTTTCAATTTTTGGCCAATCTTCCCTCTTAGCAAACATTATTTCATAGACTAAAAGGACAAAAATGTAAAAGAAAATATTTTTTTAAACAATACATCAAGTAAAAACTTTAACTCTAGCTTTATTTTCCTGTCTACCAGTAAGTCTCCATGATTAGTCTAGCACTATATCAACCTTCTGGCAAAGGTTAGAAGGAAGTGGGCATGTTTCTCTCTCCTCACATTCCGCAGTAGTGAAATTTTTACTTGATTCCCCAAGATGAATACTGGCATCTTCTATACTGACTTCATGATAATTGACCATAAATCCTATAATGTCAACTCAACCATGTCATAAGACATAGTTTTTATGACAGGACTTCTGAGGACCTGACACCTACTGATCCATTTCACTCTTCATTGTTTATTAGCTGCTCTACTTTTTTCATCTGTTGTTGGCTTTTACTCACATTCTAACTACTTAAAAATTGGTAATTCCACTTTGGATGGCTTATTCTGTTTCTAAAGTTGGCCCCTAATTGGGAGCAATGTCTACTTTTTGCTCACTAACTTCATGTATTTCTACTTTCATATTTAAGATACTTTGTCACTCCTGGCTCAAGACTACCACAGAAAACCACTCAGTTGGGCCACCTATCACTTATCTCCCATACTTGACTTTAGAAAGGAGTTAGATAATGAGCAAGAAAATTGATGGCCGGGCGCGGTGGCTCACGCCTGTAATCCCAGCACTTTGGGAGGCCGAGGCGGGCGGATCACGAGGTCAGGAGATCGAGACCATCCCGGCTAAAACGGTGAAACCCCGTCTCTACTAAAAATACAAAAAAAAATTAGCCGGGCGTAGTGGCGGGCGCCTGTAGTCCCAGCTACTTGGGAGGCTGAGGCAGGAGAATGGCGTGAACCCGGGAGGCGGAACTTGCAGTGAGCCGAGATCCCGCCACTGCACTCCAGCCTGGGCGACAGAGCGAGACTCCGTCTCAAAAAAAAAGAAAATTGATGCATACATTTTATAAGTATAGTTTTCCATAAATAATTTCTTTTTTTCTCTTTTCAAAAAAGTGACACTGAGTTTCTACTTTGAAATATGTTACATTTAACCCCATGAATTGTATAATTGTATCCTGTAAATGTTGATTGTGTAAGTCAACATTTATAGGATGTCAGGGACTGCTCAAATACAGGTTTAGCTCTGGCTGCCAATGGCAAAAGGCACCAAAGTGGTTTCTAACAGAAGTTATATCATCCTGGCACTCAACCACATGGATTTCAGTTTTTCTATTCATTCATTCATTTAGCTGAGGGAGATAGCTATGAGACATCAACAGATTCAAGACATATTTAGTGATTGTCTAAATATGAATAGCTATTTGAGATCCTAAAACACAGCAGTAAAATAAATGAAAATGTATATTTAGTGTATTTATGGCTATTTGTCTCTTTTGAAATAAGCAAACTAGAGCAGTTTCTTTCAGTGCCCCATCCATAACTCCTTGTCCTTACTTCTGTGCATGCTAAGTTGACTTTCAATTGCCAGCATCTGCATTCCATTGCCTAAGGGCTCCCTCTGGCTACAGGCCTTCACTCAACCCATCTATGCACCAAGCAGTGGGCCTCAACCACTGACTCAGGGGAGTTGGTTGATAAAGACCCAGCACTCAAGGCAAGTTGTTTACACTGTTTTTTCTCAGTTCCCTAGAGGGATTAAGCTTCAGTTGTCCAGGTAGTAATTTGCTTGATATTGCACTCTTTTTTGACTCCTTTCCCTTCTGTCTCCTTTCTTCATTCCATTAACAGTATTGCCTAGGATTAACTCCCAAGCAAATTAGTTGTACTTGAATTATTGTCTCAGGATCTGATTCTAAACTAAAACAAAAAGAATATCACCTTTTACTTTTGTGATTAAGTAAATGTATTTCTCCTTGAGAAATCCTTGAATTAATCACTTTATATGTTTCTCACAAGATAATATTGATGTACCTATTAATATTATGACTTTGAAACTGTATAATTGATAACAGTGCCCTTAACCTGTATATTATGCCCTATGAGCAAACTTTCAGCAACATGCAAGGATAATTAGTATTCAAGGATGATATATTTAGGGTAAATATAAAACTTAAATCATGAAAATTAATGAAATTTTCTGATCATTGAAAGATGCTTAAAAAGTGTATAGGTAACTGCCAAATATCACCCAATTAGCCATCAACACACGGAAAGGATGAAGAATTTTCTAAGTAACATGAAGACAAATTAGAACTTGCAAATTCTGTCTCTATTGAGTTACTTTCCCCTCAATGTAAATGGATGCTCTGGTTGGTAATTCTTTAAATTATTCATTTACCAATTTCTGTTCTACTGTTCAGCTCCTATGTTGGACAGACCACCATCTGTCCTAACTGGACTCCTTTATTCTGTTTTTGCCACATGTTAGCCTATTCTCAACAAAATTACCAGAGTGATGTCTGCGACACAAGTTGCTTCATAGTCCTCTGTTCCCAATCCTCCAATGGCTTCCCAATTCTCTCAAGGTAAAATGCAATCGTCTATAAAGCTTGACATAACCTGTGCTCCCCACTACCTTTCCAATTTCATTTTGCTCTGCTCCAGTCACAAACTTCATTCCAGTAATACTAGTCTCCTGGCTTTCTCCAAGACTAGCCGCCTCCAAATTAAGGCCTTTGTGCTTGCTGCTCCCTCTGCTTAGAACCTTCTTCCCCCATAGTCCACCTGGCTTATCCCTTACTATCTATAAGACTTTTACTGAAAAAGCTTCTCAGCTAGAAAGCACCAGAGTCCAGGCTGGAAAACAGAAATCACATTAATTATTTTTTTCAAACTGAGGGGATATTTTAGGATGCAAAAATATTGAAATCTGCATTACAAATTGAGAAGGAGAAATCATGAAAAGAAAGTAAAGCTACGAAAAATAAGCAACATTCCATAACGTTAAAAAATCAATTAAGTGATAGTTTGGGGTATGAAGAGAAGACTAATTGAGTAAAATAGTAGGAGCATTTTGGAAAGGATATGTGATTTGGAAGTCAGCAGCTAAAAATTAAAGTGGATGGAAAAGAAAATGTGGTCAGTGTAATAACTGTAAGGTTTTAGTATATATTTTGATAAGTATTATGAAATCAGTACATTCATATTAGATTATATAATATAAACTACTATTCATAAAAAAAATACTAAGATCTTCCTGAATTTTCTACTAGTGGTATGGAGAGTTTACGGGCAAAAGTCTTAAAATCTGACTCTCACTCTCTCTCTCGGTTCTATAAGTAAAAGGAGTCCAAGTAGCTTCTTAATGGGAGAAGGATCTTCTCTATCACTGCCTCTCTCTCTCTCTCTCTTCTCGTTTTCTCATTCTTTCTTCTTCCTGTCTTCCCATCTCTCCAACACTTTGCTGCTTTCTGCTCTTTTCTCTAGAAACCAGGCTGTTGGGCTGGGCTGGATGAATTGATCTAGCAACCTCTGACTTATATAAAACAATCTCTCTCTCTTTTCTCTTTCTCCTCTCTCTCTGACTTCTTCCTCCCTCTACCTCTAGCCACAGAAAAGAAACTATTCTAACTCAAAGAGTTCTGGTTATCTGCAAATAGCTTTTAGCACATAATTTTATCATAACTTAATGAAAACTATCATTTTAACAAATATTTTTGAGCCCTTCTTATAAACCAGGCATTTGCTAGATAGTGAGTATTTACTGATAAATATAACAGACATAATCCCTTTCTTCATGGACCTTACAGTCTTAAATGTAAAATAAATACTGTATGACTAGCTGAGACTACCAACATTTTCACATTTTTACCCATAAAGCAGTAAGACAATGATTCCAATTAAATATAACTTACTTGTGTCATTTTTTTAGTCAAGAAACTGGCTCTAATAATCTATCCTAATCCTAAGCAATACTGAATTCATTAAATATAAATATAAATTGAGATCTCTGAAAATTAAGATATAAATGAGATAATTTGTTCTATGAATAGAATTCTAACACTAATAAGCAATGTGTTGTTTAGTAGGCTCGGTGTCCATTAACTATTATTCTGGTATATACAATTTTTCTTTGTGCAGCTACCCCTCCTCCAATGAACACAGTTTCTGTGCAACTCTCAAGCAGGATTCCCTACCTTCCCACTGCAAAGTGTTGGATTTATGATTCAAGCTATATGTATCAGTTGCTGTCTCCCTGGAATATGAATTTAAAGCATAGCAACAAAGAGTCTTTAAGTGGTAGGGGCTTATCTATCCCCCAGAGGCAAATTGAGATTATCCCTTATTTCCTGCTCCCTAGATCTCTGAAGCAGTTGTGTTTCATATTCAGTCTGAAATCTAATTGTTTCACTATCTTTGCAATATTCTCCTGTTAAATTTCCTTTTTGCTTTGGATAGCTAAAATGAGTTTTCTGTTACTTGCAGAGGATCCAAATAAATTAATTCAAATGTACAACATGCTAACTTAAAATGCAAATTGCTTACAGCAATATAACATATAATCTACCTTTGCTTTCTACAGGTAATTATATTTAAAATTCCAATGGCTAAATTAACTCCAAACTTAAATTCAAACCAGAAGTGTCTGCATCACTTACATTTTTTTCGGTCCATCCACTCCTCTAGCTCTGCTAAGTTGAGAATTTGTCTTGTCCTCCAAAGACCACGTCGATATCTAACACGGTGGATTAGTCTGCCATACATGTTAATAACTGCTTTCATATCTGGTCCATGATCCAAAGCCTACAAAGACAGAAAAGCTCCTTATATATTTCTGGTATTTATATTTAATTTGATTTCGCCTCTTTCATTTAGTCTATTTCACCTAGTTTCTAAGATTATGGGTGTATTTATTGTTTATTGCCTAGGTTGGCTAAATATACGCATTGTAGAGTAATATAATCTCCCTGAAGTTCAGAGATTTCCATTATGAATTGCTTTGTCATTATATATTCATACTTCCCATAGAATAGAGCTTCCAATATTGGCTTCTTTCACAGACACTTCCTATACTTGTGTGCAGATTTCCATAATATGTAGCCCACTCTGCCAGAAACGATGTAGTCTTATTAAGGTATTATTCTGTAATAGATGATTCTTGTCTAAGCAGTCCACTCTGGGTGCTCAAATCTTTGTCTCTTATTTCCTTGGGAAATTATACATTCATGTCCTTTACCTATTTTTCCCTGGGCTTTTTAAGGTTTTTTTGTTGTTGTTGATTTCTAAAAATCTCTTTGAATATTCAAGAAATTAACCCTTTTCAGCGTATGTGCAAATTTTGTTTCATTAGTTTACCTGTGACTACATTCTTCTGTGTATGCATTTTCAACATTCCACCAGAACAATTTTTTTATTAAAGTTTTAAATATTTACCTATTTCAAATTTGTTTTCTCTTTTCTAAAGAGCCATTCCCTTTTAGTTAACAAGTCAATTATTTTTACATTTTACATTTTCTGGCTTATTAATGTCTCTATATATCTTTATTAATTCCTTTCTAAATAATATTTAGATTTATTTTCCTGTTCTTGACTTCTTAAAGGCTTAATTTTTTAAATTTTCATTATTTCTTGTTTGTTTAGGAATGTGTTTACATTTACACATT
This sequence comes from Homo sapiens, assembly GCF_000001405.40. Classification (NCBI taxonomy): domain Eukaryota; kingdom Metazoa; phylum Chordata; class Mammalia; order Primates; family Hominidae; genus Homo; species Homo sapiens. The sequence continues at coordinate 149,554,148 of NC_000004.12, forward strand.
TTTCGCTGAGTTGGCTTTCCTTTTCTGTGTTTTGCATACCGTATTATAAATGAAAACAACTGAAGCAGAAAATCTTTAAATAACTTTCCCAAGGCCCCATAGCTAGTAAGTTGTATCATTGGTTTTGAAACTAGCATAGAGGCATTCCAGAGCCCACTTAATTGTACTCTACATTCCTTTTAATTTAGTGTTTTCATCCTTTTTTTTTTTCTTGAGACGGAGTCTCGGTCTGTTACTAGGCTGGAGTGCACCTCTGCCTCCTGAGTTCAAGCGATTCTCATGTCTCAGCCCCTGGAGTAGCTGGGACTACAGGCACTCACCATCATGACCGGCTAATTTCTGTATTTTTGTAGAGGTGGAGTTTCACCATGTTAGCCAGGATGGTCTCGATCTCCTGACCTCATGATCTGCCCACCTCGGCCTCCCAAAGTGCTGGGATTACAGGCATGAGCCACCGCACCTGGCCGTGTTTGCATCCATTCTACAAGATTTTTTGTTTGTTTGTTTGTTTCTTAGCATATTTCATATTACACATTAATTTTTTCTTTTCTTTTCTTTCTTTTTTTTTTTGAGACAGAGTGTCGCTCTGTCGCCCAGGCTGGAGTGCAGTGGCGCGATCTCGGCTCACTGCAAGCTCCACCTCCCGGGTTCACGCCATTCTCCTGCCTCAGCCTCCAGAGCAGCTGGGACTACAGGCGCCCCCCACCACGCCCGGCTAATTTTTTGTGTTTTTAGTAGAGACGGGGTTTCACCGTGTTAGCCAGGATGGTCTGGATCTCCTGACCTCGTGATCCGCCTGCCTCGGCCTCCCAAAGTGCAGTGATTACAGGCGTGAGCCACTGCACCCGGCCCATATTACACATTATTTTTCTTGTTTCTGTCATGTTATTTTCTGTTTATGTGAAATAATATTTTTTGTTTATTTGAATGAAAAATTAATTAGCATAATTTTACTACCCTCCTCTTCTCCTTTCTCCTTCCATCTAATAGCAGATTCTGGATGTTTGCTAATGTCTCTCAACATTTAATAACATTTTTCAATGTGTATTTTTAATCTGCCTTTTGTTCAATAGGCTTTTGTCTTTTAAAAAAAATAATAAATTGATTGCACTTTTGGCACATTCCCTACATATGAATCTTAGTGGGAGGCAGAACTCACTTCCCACAATTTGAAGCCAAAAGTCAGGTGCTCATGACTCATACCTCTTCTGTTGCTAGGATGCACACACGTGAACTTCATCCATTATCTCCACCAATCCCAAACTTTGAATGGAAACAAATAATGCTTTTAAGAGTGAAACAGTGGGAAATCTATTTGTGTGATAGAGTAACTGTAGTACCAATATACATTTTTCAAGGGCAGCATTTGTAAAGTCAGGAACACCCAGGATTCAGTGTCTGCATCAAACTCTTTCTGTATAGGATTTGGCTGGATTACTGGGAGCTACCCAGCCTTTACTATTCCTTTATGTTTATGAACTTAGTTCTCTAGACTTCTGTACAATATCCTATTCAACATCTTTCTGCTTAAATCTATAAGTGGATTTCTTTTGCTTATAATTAAGAATCAAGCAGTTTTTTGACTGTATCTTTAAAACCTGAATAGAAAAGTTCCCTCTTGGAATGTGCTACTTGGACAGATGATGTTTCTGAGAAAAGGAAGGGCATTGGGCAACCACCGACTTCAATTTGAGTACCTTTTCCTCTGAATGTAACAACTCTTTTGGGGAACACAACCTATCTTCTAAGGGAGCCCTTTTCAGATCTCAGGCATTTGGAAGGTTACCTAGGGCTTTTCATGGTTAGGAAGTTGAGCCAGAGAAAATGACAATGGTCCATCCATGTGGTTTTTATTACAGGGAGTGTCCCTCCCAGGCTTTCACATGGAAATATGCTTCAGCTATTGTGCTAGTACATTTCAGCATGTAAATCTTTCACTATAAGTCTAAATATTTCTCAAGGTAGAATTTATCAGAAAAAAAGTACAAATTTCTACTTACAACAGCAATATTGCAATATAAAGTTATTATAAATTACTGATTATAATATTCCAATTTCTGTTATCTTAATGGACAAATGTATTATACTTATCAACATTTAATAAAATTTTCCAGTATTTATTTCAGTTTGTTTTTGCTTGATATGGTCATGTCTTTTTTTTTTTTCTTAAGTAATTTATTCATTGTTTGGAGAATTCCGCCATCACATGACCCTTAGTAGGACTTAATTTCTGTTAGTGTGTTTCTTACCAGTTTGTAAGAGATTTTTATATGTTAGGCTTTTTTAAACTTTGTGTCATATTTCAGCAATTATTTTGCCAGTTTGACTTTTAAATTTGAAAAAAGATTCTATAGACCTATAAGAAGATATCTTGACCACATTTGTTGATTGAAGTCTCACCTTGTCTAAGCATTTAGGTATGAAAATATCAAAAAAATCTTTATTCAAAAGCCTTATAAAAACAAAAGGGAAAATGTTTTAAAATGGCAAAACCTATACACAGTGAAATAAAAATTGAACATTCTAAATAGTTATCTCGATCGCATACACATGAACACACACTTACAAATATACAAGCCACAAATACCATTAAGTGTGAATCTTATATTCACTTCCCCATCCACTAAGAAACTAGCGAAGACCTTATCCATGCATAGCTACTGGACATGTGTCTCTCCTAGGTTTGGTTCCTCTTGCCCTCTTTCAGGCCTCTCCTCTGTGTCACTGTTGCTTGCTGTACTCATTTTGATCTGAGTCAAAGAGATTATTATTACTACTACCTGAAGCATATGCCTCAATCACTCTATGTCTAATTGCTCAGTACAGAAACTGTTAAATAAACATTCTTGGTCAACTTTATCATTAAATATAAATAAAAATATATTGTTTTCTCCCAGTGTACTCTGAAAAATATTAAATAGCAGCTCCTGATTGCCATAGAAAGGGTGCCTCTCTATAGGCCGTGGTTCTTGGCTTCATGTCTCTGATGTGAGCTCACCTGGATTAGCTCTATTAGCGTCAGGTGGGAGTATTATCTAGCCTTGGCTTTCGGCAGGAAACTCCAATGTTCATGTTGAGCCTGATCTGAGAAAAGACTTCACAATTTGCAATAATTGGACACTTCTGGTACCAGAATGGCCTCGTTTTATAGTGCTCTGGAGCTAGACAGCCTTATGTTTGATTCTCAGAATTCATTCTCAACTATGTCACTTGCAAGATGTCCAATTTTGGGTAATTATGTTACATCTCCATGCCTCATTTTTCATAATTACTAAAGAAAATTATACAACCTGGAGAAATGCTACTACTCCAATTCTTGATCACCAACCTCAATGGGGTTCTCAAAGTGGCCTGGAATTTCATGCACGCTTTTTAAGGCATCTCTCTGCCATTTTCTGTATTACCTCAATCTCCTCGAACATTCAAACCCATCTAAATGCTTACTCTCACCAAATGGCCTAATTCCTTACTTCACACAGGAAGAAAAAACAATTAGTTTATTGCAACCCCAACTTCCCACCGGCAAGTCTAAACACTTAGCTGCATCTACACACCTTCTTCTCCTGCAACAATGGAGAAATATGTTTCCTCTCACTTAACGCTAATCTTGTCAAGTAAATTAGAAATCCACCCCCTCCAATCTCCTTAAAGTCCGTATAATATGGATTATCTTCATCTTTCTTGTATTGACAACCATTCCCTCTTACTGGCTTCTTCCAATGAGCATTTAAGCATACATAAATATTTTTTATCTTAAACTATCCTTCTCTAAACTTCGTAGTGCCTCAATTTATCTACTGCAGATGTTTTCACTGCATGAACTTACTGTTACTAAAGCCAGAAAATTCTATCTAGCAGCATTGGAGACTATGGATCTAACACTTTTCCTTGTACTGCCTTTCAAGTTCCTTGATCTAGCACATTCTGGTTTTCTTCTTACCTCTCTGGTTACTACTTTAGTGTTTGTGGAATACTCATCTTCTGCTTCCCCTTGAACACCAACCAGTTTCTCTCAATCTTTCTTTTTATGATTCTCTCTTTACTCTATATAGTCTCCCTAGACAATGACATTGACTTTCATGGCTCCAGTTAGAATCAGTAACAATGATTCTCAAATCTATGGGTGGTGGCAGGTTTCAAGGAGGGCATCCTTGGTCAGGGACCTGCATCAGCATATTTAGAAGAGGTTTCTCAAATTTCAAATCCCTCCTGGCCCCAAAATGCTGTTATGTATCCTTCACTCTCTTGAAAATAATTTATTAAAAACATGTATTAGGCTCCTAGTATGGGCCAAGAATGTACAAGACTTTGCGAATAGATTAAAGATCAGGAAAGATAAAATTTCTGTTTTTAGGGGGTTACATTTTAGTGAAAGGAGCAATAATCTAATAAACAAATATATGTTAGGTGGTAGTAAGTGCCATGAAGAACAATAAAGTGTTTTAAAAGAGACAGGGAGTGATTAGAGAGTTATTTTCTACAGGTTAGTATGGGGCAGCTTTTCGATAATATGACAATGAGCAGAGACCTGAATGAAGTAAAGGAGCATCACCTGGGGGAAGAGCTTTCTCAGAAATATGATGAGATTCATTGCCAAAATGAGGTACTTTTATAGATGAGAGGGTTTTACATTCTTCTTCCATGAAAGAATTTAAGAACTACTGATAAATCCCAAGTCTTTCTATATGGCCCAATTCCCTTCTGAATTTTGGACCCATATACTCAACTGCTTCCCAGACATCTCAAGGATTTCCCACAAAAGTTTTAAACTCAGTGTTGAAAACTGGACTCAGTGTTAAAACACAGTGTTGAAAATTGGACTCTACCTTCGTTCCTTTCTTCTGCTCCCTCTTGCCTGCCCTTTCCCTTAAATTCCACATTTCTCAACCATACACCAGATTGCTCAAGACAAGAACCTGGGAATCATTCTTGACTCCACCCTCCTCCTTATCTCCAAATACAACCAAACCCAAAGTCCTATCAACTGTCCATTTCCCCATCACCACCATGCACTGGATTACTGAAAAAGCATACTAGTTGTTTTACCTCCATTTTGTCACCCTCTCCTCCCAATCCATTGTCCAAAGTCAGTAATTTTTCAAAAATACAAATCTATTGGTGTCACTGATCTATTTTAAAGGCATCCGTTCTCAGACACCAAGTATAAACTCCTTATTAAGTTTTCTAAGAACGTTATTAATCTGATTCCTACCTTCAGCTTCCTTTACTGCCATTGTCCTCCCAGCTATGCCCCAGCCCCTTAAATGTAAATAGCTCACCTAAGCTCATTGATATTGTCTTTCCTGTGCCTCTCAGCCTCCCAGTATACCTGACAAAATAAAGCCTCACCCTCCAGATCTCAGTTTACTGGTCTTATCCAATTGCCACATCAAACACACTTGGGGTTAAATGGCCTTTCTAAATGCTCTGATGATACCTAAGACTTCTTTCAGTTGTCTGCATTGCTCACTAGACTATGTATGCTCTTCACACACCAGGCAGGAAATTGGACCCAGTATATAGTAACTATTATCAAATCAAAAAATACATATGTTACTGAATAAATGAACATAGGTCTCCAGGTACTTGTGAGTGTTAGCACACGTTATGTAATAAAACTGTTCTATACAACAGGAGTCCCCAACCAACTGGTCTGTGGCCTGTTGGGAACCAGGCTTCACAGCAGGAGGTGAATTGTGGGTGAGAGAGCATTACTGCCTGAGCTCCTTCTCCTGTCAGGTCAGTGGCAGCATTAGATTCTCATAGGAGCTAGAACCCTATTGTGAACTGCACATGCAGGGGATCCAGGTTGTGTGCTCTTAATGAGAATCTAATGCCTGATGATCTGAAGCAGAACAGTTTCATCCTGAAAATATCCCTGCCCCTGCTCTGGTCCATGGAAAAATTGACTTCCACAAAACTGGTCCCTGGCACCAAAAAGGTTGGGGATTGCTGCTATACAAGATGACCTGTCCTATAGGCTTCATGAATAGATTCAGATTTTGTTATTATTTCTGTTTTGTTCTTTTGAGATAATGATAGGAAATTCCTACTTTATCAAATTTTCAAAGAATTCTATAACCTCCAAAATATTGAAGACCATGGAGTTATTCTTATGGTAATATTGAAACTCAGATTCTCCAGGGCTGTTCCAAATTTATTGATTCAACAAATATTTATTAAAAGCCAATTTCAAACACTTTTTATTATTGTAGCTATCAACCATTCCAATGTCCTGGAATTTCAACATTTTTAGCCAATAGCAATAGAATATATTTAATTTAGGATTAAAACTTTAAAATTATAAATATTTAGAGAAAAATATTGAAATTAAGTAAGAGCCTAGAAGCATTACATCGAGGGACATACCCTGTTTTGTGTCTTTATAATTTTTAATATCATTATTACTTATACCAAAACACATGCAAACAAACAGCACAAAAATTTTTAAAGGAAAAGGACATTTTTAATTGTGTAAAAAATATTCATATTAAAATATAGCAATCTCTGTGGTCTTTCGATGTATGACAGGTAAGATAATTTGATGCTGCTTCACTATTTCCAAAGAATTTCAAACCAAATTTTTCATAGGGAATGGAAATTGTACAGTCTCTTGAGTAATCTTAAACTTCTAGCAGACATTCTAGCAGACACTGTCCACAGCAACAAACTCTGAAGTGGCAGTAAAGCAATATGACTATGGAAGTCTCCCAGCGGAGGGACTGCCACAGTTCTGACAATTATCCAGTGATTTGCTGTGCACCCTCTAGAGCAGAAAGTTATCAAGAATTCCCCCAACAGCAACCCTTCACACAGGCACAGTCTAGGAAACTTACTATTAACTGCATTACAGGCTGTCACACCAGGATTTTGACAGTAGGCAAAACAACTTTAACCACATCAACAAAGCAATCATCCAACAGATGAAGCACCATGCCAATGATGGAATAAAAAAGAAAATCAATGATCATAACAAATATTATAACCAAGTAAAAGTCAACAATCTACTTTATATTGGCTCTGATCCTTTAAAAAGTACTTTTTTATCTCAAATTCTATCTCCGTATAGAAATTCAGCATTTTCCTTATCAATTAAATCACTCCTTTTCACGCTCATCTTTGGCCCATTCTTTCTCTCTCAATTTTTTAGATTCATTTTTGTGCCAGAGGTTATGAATGATTCTACAATTATTTCTGATATTAGGAAATGCTATAATTAAATTATATAGCATGTATCAAATGTGTGTAGACAGAACTTTAAGGATGTGTGTGTGTGATCTCCTTAGACTGCCATGATAAACTTCTACAATTATATCAATTCATCCACTCAATAGGTATTTGTGGAGTGCCTACATATAATCAAATACAATCAAATACAATAGGTATTTGTTGAGTGCCTACTACATACTAAACACCATTCTAGGCATTTGAATACAGAAACAAACAAGACAGATACCTGTCTTCATGGAGTTTGCAATCTATCTAGCCAAACTGAAAAATATATGTATACAAAGAGATAAACAAGAAAAAATAGTAGACCATACATGCATACAGTTAAAGTGATGGAGTATATATTATGTGTCAAGATAGTCTGTGGTGCTATGAATAGAAAAATAAAGAGTACGTACTTCCAAATAAGTCATATAAACCATACTGTCCATATCAAACATGTAAACAGATGACAACAATCTAAAGAACTGGCACAATAATGACCAGAAAAATGGAGAGATCAGCTCTGCTTGATGGACCAGAGAGGGTGTCTAAGTGAATACACTTTAGGAAGATCTTGAAAGATGAATTGGAGTTTATCAGAAGATAAGGAAGGCAGAGGAGAGAACAGCATGAAAATATAAGATGACAAGAAACAATCAAGATTTGCAGTTTGCTAAAACACAGAGAATGTGTCAGGGGGTATCATGTGATGAAGCTTAACAAAAGGCAAGAGCCAAAACAGGGAGGTCGTGTGTACTATGTTATAGTTCCTACTATATCCTGTAAGCAATATAGGTCTTCAAAAAGATTGTAAGAAATGGAATAAGGTAATAATAGTGGAATTTTTCAAATATGGCACATGGCAGATAGATTTGACAGAAGTAGGTCTGCAGGCATGGAGATCAATTAGGAAACTATTGCAATTCTCCATGTAAGGGTAGATGAATGGAAGTTCTGACAAGAAGCACAAAGAAGAGCAGTTCAACAAATGTCATGAAAGTGGAACCAGTTGAATATGGGAGTGAAAAAGTTGAAAGAATCTAAGAGACATCCAGGTTTATGGCTTGAACAATGAGTGGTAGAACAGTTTATCAATATAGATAGTTACAGAAAAGAAAGAGCTTTGTGGAGTAAGAAAATTAGTTCATCTCATTTTGGAGAAATTTAAGTCTAATTTAACCATGGATCTGTCAATGTCTTAGACAGACATGGGTTTGAATTCTAGCTCTTTCACTTACCAGCTGTTTGACTTTGGGCAAATAATTTGCTTCATTTTTTTCAGCAATGAAATAGATATAGCAGCTACCTTACAAAATTACGGGATTAAGTATATGGAGTGTTTACCTTTTGCCAGAGTTTTACATGTATTATCATGTTTAATCAGAACTACATATGTGATTCCCATACATATTAATTTATACATGTTAGTACATGTAAAAATTTATACCCAGAGATAGGCAGATGGATTAACTCTAACAGTATCACCACATTGTCAGAGAAATGTGTTCAGGATGCCCACTGCAAATCTATTCCAGAGGTTTTTCGCAGAAGATCAAGGAATTGGAGTGGGCACTACTAATCTATTTTATTTATAGTTGATTTCCCAAATTCCTTATTAGCAGTAAAACTTTAGCCCTTTAAGGTGAGGACATTTAGGATTCTCTCAAAGGTTTTCCAAGATGGACCCACTTAGGTTCATCTGCATTTGCCCAGCCAAAATGGGTGTGCATTATTTATTTTAAAAATCAGGATTGCGATCTATGAAAGTTGACCAGGTAGATATTTGTATATGTGTGTAATTCTTTTGAAATTGGACATTTATGCACTGCAAGAGTACCCAGGAGTGTGGGAAGTGAAGGAAAGTTGCTCTAAACAGAAAATGAACAGACAGCAAAGAAGAAACAACTTTAGTGCAAAGTTATTTCAAAATATCCTTGTTTAAGAATAGGTGGTCCCAGAATTGCTAAGTTAAGGATAAGTGAGGCCTTTTGTTCAGAGTCTCCAACTTTGCACAGCCTAAAAACTGTCATCATAACAGATTATTCATCACATTTTCTTAAAGTATGTACACTAAAAATTAGCTGGATGTGGTGGCAGGCACCTGTAATCCCAGCTACTCAGGAGGCTGAGGCAGGAGAATCGCTTGAACCCAGCAGGCAGAGGTTGCAGTGAGCCAAGATCACGCCATTGCACTCCAGCCTGGACAACAACAGCAAAACTCTATCTCCAAAAAAAAAAGTATGTACATTGACCAGATGACTATTCAAAATTCTACTGAATTGAATCTAATGAGAAATTTTAAACACATTATAATATCTGATGGATATCTTACCTTGGTCATTACTCTTTGCAATCTTTTCCGTTCAAGCCATCCCCTGACATGTGCCTGCATGACGGTGACCATTCTAATCAATTTTGGGGTAATCATGAATTTTTTTCTTTCTCGGAACACTTGGAAGATTTCTATGTGTGGTCCAATTCTTTTAACTTTACTGTCAAGTTTATCAGTTTTATTTGGAGTACCTTTTATCCTAAAAATAAAACAAATTTCTTATTATACATAATATGAAAAATTAACCTTCCACAAACAGTTTTAAATTATTTCAATGATGAATACATTGAAATAGGAAATATATTATAACTTGTACATAGAATTCAATGTATGATATCACCAGGACATGTCAATAAGGACCTCCAAAGAAGGTTGAATATGCCAAGACCAATATTACATGGATAAAACTAACCTTCTAATGAAAAGAAATCCAAAAGAAAGTGAATATGTCAGTCTATCTACAACTACTCCAAAGAGAATGTTTTCATATGACACGGCAGTTTAGTTCAAATAATTTTCCTGTCCCAGAAGCTATTTTAAACTACAGAGTACTTCAAAATTATTTAATTATTTGGCACTGATATGCTGTTAACCAAACGTCATCAGAAAAGTAACTTTGATTCAAATGCTTTGAATTGAGAGTCTCTGTACTATGGTGGTAGGATCATGGCCTATAGGATCAGCAGATGGGAAAGGTGATACTGCAAACGATGACCAGTCTGCAATACGGCTATGGGTGACTGTGGTAGTTAATAATGAGTGTCAACTTGACCAGATTGAAGGAACAAAGTATTGATCCTGAGTGTGTCTGTGAGGATGTTGCCAAAGGAGATTAACATTTAAGTCAGTGGGCTGGGAAAGACAGACCCATCCTTAATCTGGGTGGGCACAATCTAATCAGCTGCCAGTGCAGCTAGAATATAAGCAGGCAGAAAGATGTGAAAAGACAGACTGGCCTAGTCTCCTAGGCTATATTTTTCTTCCGTACTGGTTGCCTCCTCAAACATCAGACTCCAGGTCCTTCAGTCTTGAAATCCGACTGGCTCTCCTTGCTCCTCAGCCTGCAGACGGCCTATCGTGGGACCTCCTTATGGTCATGTGAGTTAATACTTAATAAATTCCTATATATATATATATTCCATTAGTTCTGTCCCTCTAGAGAACCCTAATACAGTGACCCTAGCAGCAATTAATAACATTTGAGAAAACTGAAGATTTACTACCATTAACAGATTATCTGTAATCTTGGTAACCTTGTGTCAGCTTTTTCTTTATATGTATATACCTGTTATGTTTTACATATGATAGCCAGTTTTTTTCAAAGTCTTCCAAAGTCCAAAGTCTAGTTCTCTTGCAATTTTTGGCATATAAAAATGCTTTCTTCTTCTTAATGTTTTTATTTCTGCCCTCTCACAAATGGAGTTCCACTGACTGAGATGCCCAGGTCAATTCATTCACCAGGGCTGAGTCTTGCCCCAAAAATGATCTGTACCTACACCTCTGAATCCCAGACCCAAGTTTCTTGATTCTCAGAGTGAATCTCTGACTCACATTCACTCTGTTTTTGCATATTTTCTTAGTCTGTTTTATTTAATTTTTATGTTAAGTTTATTCTTAAGTCTTGTTCTGTTTTGTACATGGATATTATTTTTATTCTCTTGGTAACTGAAATGTGGAGTATGATTTTGATTATTTGACCCAGCCACAAAGTCTCTGTTAGGTGGTAGATGGCAGGAAATCCCAGTTCTGTCTTTTCATATTTGTCTTTCTGTAGTTATTCTTGAAGCTTGTACTATCTCCTGATATTCTCTATATTGTATGTCATTTGAACACTAGCATAACACCATTTTTGAACACTAGTTTGAATATCATTCAAGAGAAAATTTCCCACCCACTAGAATGGAGATCAGCCCCAGATTAAGAAATTTTCATAAGAAGAATTTGTTGATCTTTTTTACTTCCTGACCTTCCTACTCCCAAGTAGCTGCAATGAACCAGTGAGATTTGTTGAAGCACAGAAAATTGTGCTGTATATTTATTTTTGACCTATATCTAAACATGTATAACTGAGGCTGCTAGTTCTCTTTGTGTCTATGTGTGTAAATGAAAAAAAAGTCATTTTCTTCTTTGCAAAACGAAATAAATTAGCCTTGTACAATATTCTTATAACTGTAGCTCTTTTGTATCAGTGGCTGATTCATTCTATCATTTTCTTTCACTCTCTTGAAAATTTTTATAAATTACTGAGCCAAATATATATCATTTTGTACACTGAGGGATAGATGTCTTATTAAACAAAGCTGCCAGAAGAGCTGAAGAATAGGAAACAAAGTTTTGTATTTGTTTGTTTAAATTAAGACTGATTTTGAATAGCTTAGAAAAGAGGCAGCTCTGCCTTCTAAGAGGATTTTTGCTTGGCTAATATAATAAATTTTACAAATGGGCATTGATGTATGAGACCAAGTGGAATGCAGGTGAAATGGTAATGATTACTTCTGGCTTGTCCGTAGCATCAAGATCTACTATGAAATCTAAGAGATTCTGAGTTGACATCTTTTTCTCATTTCTCTCAGAGGAAATAAGAGGACTGTTATAGAAATAGTTAAATACCCAAGCCAAAAAGTGAGGGAAGGTTTCATGTTCTAACAAGATGCAAATAGCAGAGGAATATGTGTGATGGTAGGGTGATATGTAATGTGTACTATTGAAGTGACAGCTCTAGGTCATTACAGTCTTCTGGTCTCCTAAGTTGCCTTGAAAGGCACAGTTTTTAATCCTCTACTGAAAAGTTTGTGTGTGTGTGTGCGTGTGTGTACACATGTACGAGAGAGAGAGAGAGAGAGAAAAGTGACAAAGAAAGAGAGACACAGACAACAGAGGCAGAGAGAGAATTGAAAGTTATTTGGGGTAAAAGCTGTAGCTAATATGAGTGATCAGAACTATATTACGTAAAAAATAAGAAGAAATACAAGCATGTTTACAAAATGATGAATGTGATTTGTCTGGTTTTCATAACAATTGAAAAGAAATGAATTTTATCTTAGGTCTGAAACAGATGTACTTTGATCAATACTATATCTCTAGATAATTGGAATGTTAAAGAAAAGACAAGAACAATTTATAGAAGTGAACAATTTATAGAAGTCTTGATGGAAAACAAATTGTATTTACAAATAATGAGTTTGAAAAGAAGCTAATACACTAAATTTTGACAATGGTAAATTTTGATGAGCTTAATCATAAAACAGAGAAATGCTTGTGAATCCTTAACTATAAAACATTACACAGGTGGTATATTTTAAAAGTAAAATTAGAATATGATATCACTTTTGTTACACTGACAAACTGATTTTTGATTACAGTTTGCTCTTAACATAGGGAAAACCATTCTGTGCCTTCAATATATTTTGCCCAAATATCAAAAAGTTCCTTTTATCACATAAGTATTCCTTTTATTGTGCTTGTGAATCTTTTTTCTCTTCTTTGTGACTTATTTGCAAAGTTTGGTATTCCTAACATTGAAAGTTACTTAGTTATTTGCGTCTCTGTTACTTCTTTTTTACTCAAAAGGCACCTGTGACTTCTGTTCATGTTTTACTTCATCTGACAATTTTTTCAATATTTTTCCCACATTCAAGTTCCAAATTTTATTTTATTATTATTATCCTTTTTTGAGACAGAGTCTCACTCTGTCACCCAGGCCGGAGTGCAGCAGTGCGATCTACTCTCACCACAACCTCCACCTCCCGGGTTCAAGCAATTATCATGCCTCAGCCTCCTGAGTAGCTGGGATTACAGGTGTGTGCCACCACACACAGCTAATTTTTTGTATTTTCAGTAGAGACGGGGTTTTGCTATGCTGGCCAGGTGGGTCTTAAACTCCTGTCCTCAAATGATCCCCTGCCTCCACCTCTCAAAGTGCTGGGATTATAGGCATGAGCCACGGTGCAGGGCCTCAAGTTGCAAATTAAAAAAACAAACAAACAAAACAATTATAATGTCTTTTTAACCTATCTTTTGGGTATCCCAGATGGCTTCAGGATCATACCAAAGATTTTCTTCTTCACTATATAAAAGGAGGGCTGCAAGACATGACAAGGTATGTCTTGTGTGGTTGTTATACAAATGTTATAACAATTTTATTTTTTTAAAGCTAAAGATGTTTCCTATATATTGGCCCTTATGTTTACTTCTGCATATTAGGACCATTGGCTCAAAAGCTTGCCAGCTCCGAATTCAAAATTCTTAGACATTCAGCTGTTTTAAATATGGCCCAAATAAGCATATTTTTAGCCGTTTAGAGTCTACTTGCTTTGCCTACACCATGAAATTGCTTCCAATATCTGTTAGACATCAATAAGGCACATCCTGGGGCTATAAAAGACCTCATGCCACTGCTGCTCTTTGGAGCTCAATGACCCAGAGATTCTCCATCCTGTGGTTGAGTGTCATCATCTAGACATGGAAGTCCCCTCTCTGATTTCCCTCTCCCACAGGAGACCGCTACTCCTTCTGGGTAGTGGCTCCAGGTCACGGTCTCTGGAAGGCCTTTGCTGGGAGAGACGTCTCATGCAAACCTATCCATGTGCTGCCCAAATAAAGCTTGGTATGGGCTACTGCCACCTCAGGGTCATGTCTTTTCCTTGACAAGACTCATGATCCTTGACCTTGTTACAATGGTCCATATTTTTGTCTAATTCAATACTGTATTCAGGGCTGTCCTGTTTATCAAATCTCAAAATATAAAAAGAGGTGACTATTCAAGGAAAATTTTGGCCTAAGTTGAATATATAACAAATAAAATATTAATAAAGCCAGGTACAGTGGCTCCATGCCTGTTATCCCACCACTTAGGGAGGCTGCGGCAGGTGGATCATTTGAATCCAGGAGTTCAAGACCAGCCTGAGCCACAAGGTGAAACTCTGTCTCTACAAAAATGACTATGAAAAATTAGCCAGGCATGGTGGCACATGCTACCATGGGAGGCTGAGGTGGGAGGATTGCCCAAACCCAGGAAGTCAAGGCTGCAGTAAGCCATGAGTGTGCCATTGCACTCAGCCTGGGTGACAGAATGGGACCCTATCTCAAAATACACATGTACATATATATTTTTACATTAACATAAACATATTAGAAGCACAGTGCAGTATATTGATGGCCAATTAAAGCCTCCTTAAATCCATACCTTTGCAACGTGATTGTGCAGCCCTACTCATCAAGAGGTGGAGTCTATTCACCTACTCTAGGACTATGAGCTGGTCTTGTGAATCGGTCTAGCCAATAGAATCCAATGGAAGTGATAATGTGCCAGTTCTAACTATGTGCTTTAAGAGACTTTACACAGTTTCATTCTTTCAGAACCCTACATCTACATGACAATAAGCCAGCAAATCTCTAAAGGATGAGAAGCCACATGGGGAAGAGAGAAGTTGTGCCCACTAGCATGAGCCCAGGTCTGGACCAGATCATCATCATTGTTGCACAATAAATAATAAATAGCTGTTGTTTTAAGCCACTAAGTTTTGTGATGCCATTGTGGCAATAGATAACTGATGCATATACTTAGGTTTATACTCAAAGACTAACACAATAACTGTCAAATTGATTTTTTCAAAGATTTTGTTTCAGAGGTAAATTATCTGTCAAGTCGTGACATTAGGGATGACATTTTTAAAACCTTGAGGTTTGTCAATGTCCTTGTTGTCAATATGTTCTTAGTTCAAGGTGATCAATGACTAAATCCATATGGAAAAAAAATATGTATGTCCTCAGTAGAGGACTCCATTCCTCTCCACTCTGAGATTGTTTATTATTACAGCAAATTTTTGCTAAACATATATTATACAAATCAATCATATCATTAGCAGGTAGTTTCTGCCCAAAGCCCTGCTACAAGTTACAGGTTATAAATTTCATCTTTTGAAAGAAACATCAAAAGAATGGTAGCCTTATGAACAATGCATTTTCTTAACAATTTATAGTAGCAGAAAAAGACCTATGGGTACAGGTTTCTCAGTTTAGTTTAAACTGACATCATAACCATGAACCTGTTAGACTAAGCAAAAGAACTGATTCGGGATTTCAGGACTTTTTTTCCTCCAGAAACAGAAAACTTCATATGGTAATCTGCTTAAACCAAGATCAGCAAAATAAGAATTAATTATCTAGAACTGAATACACTGATTGAATTATGTTTCATATTTATTTTCTAATAAAATATGAGAAAGCTTTTTCTTTGAATCAATTTATAAACTTCAATTTGTTTGCTTTTACTAGTACAAACTGGAATGAAATATCCTTTAAATAGTATATAAATGGTTTCAACTAACCCTTCAGAACTTGAGGGGGAAAAAGTCCTAATAAAAATGTTCATATATATAATAAGTTAATAAATCATTGTGAATAACTTTATGGAAATTAAGAACACATTTTCATTTATCTTATCTTTAAAACAATATAGAACAATAGTTAAATATATATAAAATGCCTTTACTGAGTTCATTATAGAAGTATTTATTTACAAAGTTTTAATAAGAATTGATACTTTTTTCTATCATAATGTAATTGAAAAATCAAGTTTGTAATCCACTTTCCATTTTAATATATAACATTTAAAGGTAAGGCAGTAAACTAGTATGGTGGCTCCTATTAAGGAACGTGGATTTAATCTTTACGTGAAAATGATGCCCACTAGGTCCTCCTAAAAAACCAGCTCGCTCTTTTCTATATTGGTTAGGGATTGCCAACTAATGGAATGTTACAGGAAAACACATATTGGGAAATTTGAGGATATTAAAAAGAGAAAGGGGGTGCTTTTACCATTATATGTAATGTAGGTAAAACCTGGAAGAAGAAAATTGGATGATTCCTAATTCCTAACCTCAATGAAAAAACTGACAGGGGCAATAAAAATCCTGCTACATAAAATCATTATGAAAGAATATAATGTGACACCAGGGGATTTATCAGTCTTCTAGACAGAAGTTACTGATATGTTAGTATCATATGATTCTAGTTTTGCTAATGAAACAATAAAAGCATCCATGTTTTAATCCATTCCTTATTCCACATTTACTAATGAAACTGACTCAGTAAAACACCAAGTTAATGATATTGAATCAAAAGTTGCTAGAACATGGGCAGAGCATTCAAATAGAGATTTCCCTAAAGAAGACATACAAATTGCCAAAACATATATGAAAAAATGCTCAACATCACTAATCATCAGGGAAAGACAAATTAAAAGCACAATGAGTTATCACCTCACACATGTTAGAATTTACTATCAGAAAGAGAAAAGACAGCAAGTATTGGAGAGGACACAGAGAACAGGGAACCCCTGCACACTGTTGGTGGGAATGTAAATTAGCACAACCTTATGGAAAACAGTACAGAGGTTCCTCAAAAAATTAAAAACAGAATACCATTTAATCCAGCTATCCCACTCCTGGGTACACATCCAAAGGAAATGAAATCAGTTTGTCAGAGATAACTGCACCACCGTGCTCACTGCACCATTATTCACAATAGCCAAGATATGGAATCAACCTAAGTGTTTGTTAACATATGAATGAAAAAAGAAGATGCAGTATATATACACAATGGAATACTATTCAGCCATAAAAGGAAGGAAATTCTGTAATTTGTGACAACATGGATATACCTGGAGGACATTGTGCTAAGTGAAATATGCCAGATACAGAAAGGCAAATACCACATGACCTCACTCATGTGGAATCTAAAATGTTGATCTCACAGTAGAGAGTAAAATGGTGGCAAAAAGAGCTGGAGCATTTGGGAGCAGGTGTTAGGGAGATGTTGGCCAAAGGATATAAAATGGTATTTACATAGGCGGAATAAGTCCAAGAGATCTATTGTATAACATGGTGACTATAGTTAACAATATATTGTATTCTTGAAAAATGTTAAGAGCGTGGACATAAAATGTTTACACCATAAAAATAATAACTATGTAAAGTAATGCACATGTTAATTAGCTCGATTTAGTCATTCCGCAACATATATATACTTCGAAGCATCATGTTGTACACAATAAATACATACAATTTTGTCTGTAAATAAAAATAAATAATGAGTAAACCAAATAAACAGTTGCTGAACAAACTTACACAGTCACAACCATGCTTTATGAATGCATCTTGATCACAAGATAGGGATGAGAAAGCAAACAACTTAGCTTCCTCCATAATGCATAAGTAGTATATAATATCTTACAATCAAGGGGAATAAGCACCTGCTACCCTGTGACAAACAAACACAGGTAATTCTGTCTAGCACTAATCTCCAAAATAACTAGAATCTCTAGAGCTCCCCTTCTTTATATAAGTTATTACTGAATCTATAACCAAAGAATAACTTATAGCTCTCACTGATATATGATGACCCTGGATGGGAAGGTGAAACATTAGTCAGTCATTTAGTTTTTGACCACCTGACACATTCCAAGAATAGTAATAATGTGCAGACAAGCAAAAGGGACTGGCTTCCTTCACATTATTTCAGGTTTATACTTATTTTCTGGATAAAACAATATCTATTGCTGATCCTTTTATTTTCCTTTTATTAATATATTTTTATTTTTATTTTATTTTAGAAACAGAGTCTTGCTCTATCACCAAGGCTGGAGTGCAGTGGTACGATCACAGCTCACTGCAACCTCTAACTCCTGAGCTCAAGTGATTCTCCTGCCTCAATCTCCCAAGTAGCTGGGTCTACAGGTATGCATCACTAAGCCTGGCTCATTTTTCTTTTAGTTTCCAGCAACCAAACCTGTCTTCATAAAAGCGTCTTTCACTTAATTTCAAATTTTATATCTCTATTAAAAGATATATATGTATATATATCAAATTTCACTTCCAAAATGAACATCCCATATTTCATCTGCATTATATTTCCTAACTATGGTATAATAATTTCTGAACATATTTTTGTGAGAACCACACAACCAGAGCGCCTTGAAGGTTTCATCATGTTCTCAAATACATTTTTTGTTGTGATTAGTTAAAACACACACCTGGCAAAAAATAATTAGAAACATACATATAGAAAAATGTTTCAATAATTATTTTAAGTTAAAATAGAAATAAGGCACCATTTTTCACTTCCAAATTTAGGAGGAAAACCCTGTGAACCTATAAAATTCCAGAGAAAGTTTGGTTCAAGATGCATTTCCAACATTATTCTCAATTGCGTAATCTACTTGGAAAACAGATTGACTTGGCAATATGAATCAAGAGCATACAACCTAGTAATTTCCTTTTTGGAAATTTCTCCTAAGTATGAAAAAAGCTATATGCATGAAGACACCCATCCCCAGTTTCATTATAATAGAAAAAATTTAGAAACAAATATCTAAGTAAATTGTGTTAGAGCCAATCAATAGACAATTATGAGGTCATAAAGGTGTTGTTTTAGAAGATTATGTAATAATTTGAGTAAATGCTTGTCATTTCAAAAATTGATATTAAAAGAATAAGGTTATTAAATTATATACATTATATAATTGTAACTTTTAAAAATGTATATATTTATATACATATATATAAAAGACCACAAAAACATGCCAAATATTATTAATGGTTATATTAACTAAGTGTTTCTAAATCAGGAATGGATAGGAATCACAACAATTATTTCCAAGGAACTCCTCTTCAAGACCTTCCTTCAAAGATTGTTTCATTGACTCCTTCAGTAAAACTGATGCAAATTCCTGATTAGATGCTGGGTTGTAAAAAAAACATTAGGTTGTAAAGAAAAATGATAATTTGTTCCTTGTTTTCTAATTTTGTTCATATTTCCTGAAATAGGCTAGCGTTCACTGTGTAAAGTAAAAGTTTAATAATTAAATCCATTAATATCAGCAGTAGTGGTAGTAACAATCTTTTATTAAGCATTTATTTCAGACATACTTTCTCCTTCACTCTTCAAAATAGTATTGTTAGGGATGGAGGCAGTGATGTGCACCTGTAGTCTCAGCAAGTCAGGTGGCTTAGACAGGAGAATTGCTTGAGCCCAGGAGTGAGAAACTAACCCAGGCAACCTAGTGAGACCCTGGCTCAAAAAAAAAAAAAATTAAAATTAAAAAAAATAGTTTTGTTGGATGATTATTATTCTGATTTTATAAATGATAAATTTATAAGTAGTACAGCCATAATTCCAAGCCTTCTTGATCCTCTGTGTGATGAAATCAAAGGAGGACGAAATTATGTCATGACAACAGAAACGTTGGTATTGACAATAGCCAATCCTCAATAGTTAGGATGACTTGGGTAACCGGCTTTAGGTTTTTGTTCATTTGTTTGTTTCAGGAGTATTGAAAGATACAGCCATATCACAAATACAGACAGACTATTACAGAAATGTTCAATTTTATGCCACGGACTTTATGTTCATTCTTTATATAAGAATGAGTTGTAGATGAGATATGAGAAATGTATTGTGACTGTCAGATACATGGAGACTAAGTGACCTCCTCTGAGTTAGAGAATCACAGAAATTATTCTTTGCTTACCCTCCAAATGTAATTTTTAAATTTATCTTTCTTTACCATAGAATTTTGATATGGAGCAAATTGTCATTTTTACAGACATTTTTAGCCACTAAAGAGTCTCCATACAACTCTTAAAAAATCCTCATGAAAATAAAAATGTGAGTCATTAAAGGCAAGATATAAAACAAGTTTTCATCACAGAAGAGACCACTCCACTTGTTTTCATGCCACCTCCTACTAATGTCACTCTAAGAATGAGAGAAAGAACAGGGCTGACTGGCTGCCTTTTACTTTTTCATTTGAAGTTTGACAAATCTGTGCTCAAAGCATCAAATCAAATAGTTTTCAGAGAGATAAGAGATCATTATGCAAGATTACATGTGAGAAAAGATACAATAAGTTGATTAGTAAGTTAATCATGTCCGAACATTACACCCTGAGCTTGGCAAACATTTGAACAGGGAATTTCCTTTCAACTGCTAATGCTTATATGATAATATATATTAAACACTAAATCAGTTTTAGAGTTTGGTTCAGATATTGCTACTAATTAGTTTTGGCTGATATTGAAGTATTTTGTATGCTCCATTTATAAAAGCACTATTTGCCCATCTGTTCATAGGTTGAAAGTGATTAAGGATACTTATTTCGGCTGTTGTAAAAGCCAAATACTTCTTAAGCTGCAAATATGTGACAAAACCAGATCAGGTTGCCAAGTTCAGAAATATAGTAAAAGAGATCTGTGATGCCTCCCTCCCCCAATTCCTCTTCCAACCTGCATTATTGAAAAGTAAATATCACTGCTTTCCTGATTAGACTAGCATGCCTGCTTTGTCCAAATGCTTTGCAATTTAGTTATAATTTACACAATTTACTCTGATTTGGATCTGCTGCTACCAAGCTGTGTCGAGGGCTTTCGTTTTCTGTACGTGCAGCCTTGAAGTAGAAACATGTGATACTCTTGTGCTTTGAATGTGGTATTTGAAAGTAACTTGGGTAATGAGTGGAACAAGTTTGTGGCCTACTTTAAACCCCTAAATGATTTCTGTTAAGTTTGAAAACAATGCATTAAATTCAGCATGGGTGATATAGATTTTTAAGGGGAGGGATGTAATACATGCTCGTGAAATTCATCTTTTGTCTCATTATTATTTTACTATTCCTTTTCCACTGTTCCCAAGGGTTCAGTACTTCACGCTAGTAAAACCTGTTCACTTCAAAAATCAGAGCAGTATTCCTGGGACTTTCTAAAATAAGATGCACTCCTCCTGAAGTGGAAGATAATGTCACTTTAATTCAGGCAAATTTTTAAAATAGTTTAAGTACCTAAAGGAGATGTAATTCTTGGGTGCCTTCTGTTCTCTTTTTGTACCCCAATCATTCCTCAAAATGCTACTCCATGCCAATCCCCAAAAAACAAGTGCCCTCCTATTTTTGACTGTTTCTAGGTCTACGGAAATCTGTTTAACTAGATCATATCAAAGGATGGAGATTGATATCCCATTTAAAATCTCTAAGACAATTGGAATTTCTGGGTAGGATACTTTTTACCACCTATGTAGATTCCTAGTTAGAACATTTCAGGTAGTAAAATGCTTAAGGCACTCACTATGGGAGAAGAGAATCAGGCATGGGTGCAGGAGGCAGAAGACATTTTCCAGGCGCATGATATCATGTCTAAGGAAAGAGGGGTCTTATTGTTATTACAGCTACTGCTGCTGCTTGGTTTCAATTTTCCAACAGATTTTCCTCAAAACAAAATAGAGACTTAAAATTCCAAATTCAGTTCAAAAAACACAATTATTTCTTTCCTTCTGGCATAGATAAACATTCTGCAGGAGCACTACTTATTATAAATTAAGTTGAAACTATCATTTCACGTAATGGAAAAGCAAAACCAGAAAAAATACTGTTTTTATTCCAATTTAATCAATTCTGATTTTTTTTCTTTCCAACTTTTCAGGTTTAGGGTGTACCCGTGCAGGATTTTTTATGGGTATATGGTATTTTGTGTTATGGAGTTTTGGAGTACAGATTATTTTGTCACCCAAGTAATAAGCACAGTACCCAAAAAGTAGTTTTTTGATCCTCACCCTCCTCCCACTCTCCACCCTGAAGTAGGCCCTTGTGTCTATTGTGCCCTTCCTTGTATCCACGTGTACCCAATATTTAGCTTGATTTGCTTTTTTGTTATTATTTCAGTAGCTTTAAGGGTACAAGTGGTTTTTGGTTACATGGATGAATTGTATAGTGGTGAGGTTTGAGATTTTAGTGCACATATCACCCAAGTGGTATTTGGTTTTTTGTTCCCAGATTAATCCGCTTAGGATAATGACCTCCAGCTATATCCATGTTACTGCAAAGAATAGGATTTTGTCCTTTTTTATGACTGCATAGTATTCTATGGTGTATATGTACCACATTTTCTTTATCTAATCCACCACTGATGGACATTTAGGTTGATTCCATGTCTTTGCTATGGTGAATAGCATTGCCATGAACATACATGTTTAAGTCTCTTCATGGTAGAACAATTTATATTCCTTTGGGTATGTACCCAGTAATGGGATTGCTACATTGAATGATAGTTTAAGTTCTCTGAGAAATCTCCAAACTGCTTTCCACAGTGGCTGAACCAATTTACATTCCCACCAGCAATGTATAAGTGCTCCCTTTTCTCCACAACCTCACTAGTATCTTATTTTTTGACTTTTTAATAGTACCCATTCTTACTGGTGTGAGATGGTATCTCATTGTAAGTTTGGTTTGCATTTCTCCACTGATTAGTGATGTTAAGCATTTTTTATATGCTCATTGGCCACATATATGTCTCATTTTGGGGAAAATGTCTGTTCATGTCCTTTGCCCACTTTTTAATGGGGTTGTTTTTTGCTTGTTGATTTAAGTTCCTTATAGATTCTGGATATTAGACCTCTGTCAGATGCATAGTTTGCAAACATTTTCTCCCATTCTGTGGGTTGTCTGTTTACTCTGCTGATAATTTCTTTTGTGTGCAGAAGCTCTTTAGTTTAATTATGATTGATTTGCCAATTTTTGTTTTTGCAGCAATTGCTTTTGGAGTCTTAGTCATGAAATCTTTGCCAGGGCTGATATCCAAAATGGTATTTCCTAGGTTTTCTTCTAGAATTTTTTATACTTTTAGGTTTTACATTTAAGTCTTTAATCCGTCTTGAGTTGATTTTTGTATATAATGAAAGGAATGATCCAGTTTTAATCTCCTACATATAGCTAGGCAATTATCCCAGCACCATTTAATGAATAGGGAATCCTTTCCCCATTGCTTGTTATTGTTGGCTTTGTCAAAGATCAGATGGTTGTAGGTGTGCGGCTTTATTTCTGAGTTTTCTAACCTGTTCCTTGGTCTATATGTCTGTTTTTGTACCAGTATTGTGCTGTTTTGGTTACTGTAGCCTTATAGTATAGTTTGAAGTAGGTAGTGTGATGCCTCTAGTTTGTTCATTTTGCTTAGGATTGCTTTGGCTATTTGGGCACTTTTCTTGGTTCCATATGAATTTTAAAAGAGTTTTTTCTAATTCTGTGAAAAATGATATTGGTAGTTGATAGGACTAGCATTAAATCTGTACATTGCTTCGGGCGGTATGGCCATTTTAACACTACTGATTCTTCCTATTAGTAAGCATGTTTTTTCATTTGTTTGGGTCATCCTTGATTTCTTTCAGCAGTGTTTTGTAATTCTCATTGTAGAGATCTTTCACCTCCCTGGTTAGGTGTATTTGTAGGTATTTCATTCCTTTGGTGTCTATTGTGAATGGAATTGTGTTCCTGATTAGGCTGTCAGCTTGGACATTGGTGAATAGAAATACTACTGACTTTGGTTCATTGATTTTGTATCCTGAAACTTTGCTGAAGTTTATCAGATCACGGAACCTTTAGGCAGAGGCTATGGGGTTTTCTAGGTTTAGAATCATTTCATCTGTGAAGAGAGATAGTTTGACCTCTCTTGCTATTTAGATACCTTTTATATCTTTATATTCTCTTGCCTGATTGTTCTGGCTAAGACTCCTAGATTCTGATTTTTTAAATCAAGTTAATATATAATGCATTTTAGGGAACTCTCTTTAACCTAAACATGTAGGAAACTCCATTTTATTGTACCTACATGTTTTACCGGTAGGATACTGAAAAATATTACCATTGAGGTCAACTGAAATAACTAGGGTGTTTATGCCAAAGGCGTGATGAGGGCTGATTTTTCAGTGGCACAGTGACCAGAGTTGTCAATTTTTATCTATGAAAAAGGGAACACAGTAAATTGTTCTGCTCTTCATCCCAACACAGTTATTTATTCCTCTTGGGGATACTTCTGCTCCCAATCCAAACTTTAGTCAGTCATGGAGAAGAGCTGACTCTACCTACTCCCATCCGTCTCTCTCACCTCTGCTCAAAAAAGGGTGAAAGATAAGATTCCTTATCCCTAGAATAGGGACTTTAGATTATAGGGCTCCAGAAAATAAATGAATGTCCACAATTCAGGTGATTCTAAAATCAATTTCTAATATTATACTCAATGTTTTATTGCCAACCACGTATATATCAGGGACTACCATTTCCAAAAGACTGGGGAGACCCCCAAGCGGGAACACACAGAATGATGGTCAGGCAATCATAGGCAAAGCCTGTTAGAGAAGTAGAACTGTGGACAGTCTGAGAGTAACCTGGATTAGAGAGAGATGGGATCCTTTGTCCCCCTTCCCCATGCTTTTGCCTCTCTATTCACCCTCTTAATGTGTTCCTCCATGAAAAAGCAATTGCATATCTGATTTTCCCTGCCTGAGATTTCATTCATTCTCATTGCACTATTAGGGAGGATTACTATGTTTTGAAGAAGAGAACTTATGTGTGTTCTGTCTCTCTATTCTGCTTGCTCCTCCTTGGACGATTTTCTTCATATTACATGCAGGAGTCACACCTACACCTTCTTCTTGAACTAGGCCCAGTTTTCCTCTTTCCCAGCTGCTGATTTCCTATAGTCAGTTTCCTTACTCTCTGCTACACCCTTCAGCAGAAACTAGTGGAATTATGTGTATCCCATGCTTATGAGTGAGGAAGTACACTCTTGACTTCTCTAGAGATGAGGCCATTTCTATTCCAGGGGAGAAAGCAGAAGGCCCCGATTTAGCCTGTAGCTGAAGCCAATATGCTCTAACTCAGGTTTACCAGAGAGCCCAGCCAACAGTAACTGGTTATTTTGTGTCCTCTTTGTTCTGCCTATCAGAGCAGTGTTTTTTTCCATCCAATTAGGCTAGACTGGGAAACCAGTGATGCTGACATTCTGATGCCTCGTGACTAATGCCAGTGTTAGACTCTGGACACATTCAGAGGCATGAACTACCAGCAGTTCACTGCCTGACCCTGCTCCTGCTTCAGCATACAGCTCTCTTGGGCAGGACCTTTGCATAAGAGGCAATTGCTTGCCTTAAATTTGGTTATCTTTATTTTTGCCTCATACCACTGAGAAGTAATCCTAAAGAAAACAGGCCTAGAAGACTTAAGATGCAGCTAAATAACACTTGACTTGGAGGTATATGAGGGAGTTTGGAGATGGTAGCATTTTCAGGAGATGCAGTCTCTAGTAGCTGCTTTTGAAGACTTCATCCTATCCCAAGATCATGACACTGAGATATCATCAAGGGAATTAACTATAGCTCTATTAACTAGCTAGTCATAGCAGAAAGCAACTAAGTCATCTTAGGAATTGACAGAGCCAGGAAAGTAAGTACTGGACACAGTTAAGTATATTCTCTAGCTTAGTACTCAAAGTGTGGTCTGAGCACAAGCAGATCAGTATCACCTGAGAGTTTATTTAAATGCAGTATTTCAGGCCATTTCGATTCTACTATGCTCAAAAAGAATAACCATCAGACTAAAAATGATAGAACAAATACTGATAGAAGAGAACTGAAACGCAAGCCACAAAAGATCTCATAAAGAAAATTGAGACTTCTTTTAATTAGTTAAATTTTCTGGGCTCAGGTGAATAATTTTCCATAGAAATCTGCCGATCTATCTTTGAGAAACTGGAGAATAAAAGAGATGTGAGAATTCTGGAGAATGGCAAATGCCCTCACTTTAAAAAAGAAAAGAATAAAAAATTGTAAACTCTAGGCCAGTAAATTAAATCTTAGAGTCTATCAGTTATCAACTGGATGTTGGGTGAGGACTTAACAAACGAAGCAGTGGTGCCAAGAGCCAGAATGTACACAAAAAGAATAATTCATGTCATGCTAAACTCATTTTCTTTATTTTAATTTAATTTTATAGCTATTTTGCTTTTTCTTACTATATTGCTAGACCAGGAAATAATTTTTGATGTGTCTGAATTTCAGGTAGGCAATTTTCAAGGTTCTCATAAAATCTTTGTAAACAAGGTAGGGAACTATAGGCTGATTGGGTGGTCTTGGGTGATGGGAGGGAGACTGCATCATTAATAACTGAGATAAAGAACACAGTAGAAAAGGATGGGAAAACTAACACGTAATTATTTCAATTTTGAAAAGTTGTTATGGGATATTCCAGTGAAGATGCCCAGGAAGCAGTCTCTAATTTCTAACTTGAGATGAGAACTATACACAGATGGAAGAGAAAGAAAATTCATTATAAAGCAGAGAAAATATATTAAAAGGGTGATTCAATAATTGAACAAATATTTATTTATTTACATATTTATTTTATTACTTGTGTAAGGTGCTATTCTAATGTTGAAGATACCCTGTTGAATAAACTACAAAAAAATTCCCCTGTCCTTATTGAGCTTATATTCCAGTAGAATAGATCAATAGTAATCACAGTAACCAAGTTAATAATAGAGTGTGTTAGAAGATGATGTGTGCCATGGTGAAAAATAAAGTAGGATTTGGTGGTTGGGGAGTTCTGGCAGGGATCAAATACGCAATTTTAAATAGTATGTCATGGCAGGTGGAGGGGTTACTGAAAAGATGACATGTAGTAATTATCTGAGGAAAATGTGACAAGAAGCTAAGTCAAAATGTAATAAAATTACTTGTAAAGTACTTCAATTCATATATATATATATACATACATATATACACATGTATATATATACTTGTGTGTGTGTGTGTGTGACTGCACAATAATTTCACTATGACCTTGAAGATGCTAGGTGTCTTACCTCCCTCATTGTAGTTATTACACTATTTTATAATGATCTACAGGTCTATCTCCCTTCTATGCCCAGAATCCCTGAAAATGACTACTTTTCTTGTATAATAGGTGAAGAGAGAAAGAAAGAGGTAGAGAAAGAACAGGAAGGAAGGAGAAAGGAAGAATATATTAGTAACACATTAGAATATCTGAAAAGTTCTCGGGGTTTGTCTCTTTTTCAGAACTCGAATCAGTATGAGTTATTGCCCTTGGGAAGTTGACCCCTAAAGCTGACATGACGGGTTTCATGAGTTGATCTACAGGGTCTAGGGTTGGGTTCCACTTTACACTGTGCTACTAAAATTTCATTTGAAATACTGTGTTTTTTCCTGAGCATATTTTAATGGGGACATTTTTTAGTACAGTGAGCATCTGTTTCTTTCCTCTGTCTGGCACCTCCTATTCTTTGGAGAATTGCACTTTCCCATTCCAGTCATGTGACTCTCCCATGATTTGTCTAGGGCTGGTCATGTCTTCCAAGGTGGGAAGTCAGCCAGAATATTTCTGTGTGTGTGTATGTGAGGAGAAGGGGAGGGGCAAGGTGCTTTCTGCCTTGGAGCGGGGAGGTTTGGTGGGGAATTGTTTGTTGCTTTTGTTTTTGTTTTTTATTTTTTGTGCTAATACAACACCGCCATTTTGGTAAGAACGAGAAGTGAATTAGATACCTGGGAGCTACCCATTTTCCTTGCCACATGGAGAAAAATTCTATAGAAGGAGGTATTAAAGCCAAGCAGAGATTAAAAATGAAAGAAAAGACAATGCATCCTGAAGACATTACTTGAGTCCTTGAGTCATCTGAGCCTGAGATGCTAAACCAATACAAAGAACAAACAGCCACCAGATCCTGCACCCTTGTAATTCCTATTTAGATGGGTCAGTCAATCCAATGAAGATGCTGTAGACATATATATATATATATATATATATATATATATATATATATATATATATATATATATATATATTTAGTTGAAATAGGCTGAGGGGCTTAATCAGAAAAGAAAAAGTTGATAAGGAGGGGTGACTTCTAGAAGACCAAGGGATACCAGTTCAAGAGAGATAGGTATTAAGCTTAAATCAGACAACTCTCTGAAAATCAGAGCAGTCCTTTGAATTAAATAGGATGACACTTGAATTGAGGTATTATGAATCCCTGGATTTTGCAAATAATGTCCATGTGTGTACAGTGTTATAGAGGAGATTTGTCCTTTGGAAAGAGAGTTTTAGTAGAAAATCTTTAAGTTTCCTCAAATTCTCAAAGTCTATAATTCTGCAAAGACAGAACACACAAGTAGAGGTCACCTGAGAAATGTTATTCACCATACATTTATTTTCAAATAATGTTTAGGATAGGCACTGACCCAGAAGAATCAATTGACAAAAGATGTCTAATGATAAGCAGGCTAACTTTCCATTCATAGGTAACAAAATTTCAGGAGAGACCAAAGAAAAGTTTTTAGGTGAGAAATTTTAAGATTGTTTTGAGATAAAATAAGAGGACTTGATCTCTTTCAGGAAAAAAAAAATGGTGACAAAGAGAATACAGTAATTTTCAAGATAAAAGGGAAACATTCAAGAACCTACATAAATATCTGGACTCTGAAATGTGAATTTTATACTTAGATATGTAAGTTGATGTACCATATGCCACTATATCAAAAAAGAAAATATTTAGAATTGGTAATTCAATTTGCCTTTCAGAAAGATATTAGTGTCATATCTTATTATTATTTTAGTTCCAGTATGCTACAAAATAGGAAGAAGGAAGAATACAACTATTCTTCATCTACATATTTACATGAACTATAATAATATTTGAAATTCTAAAGATTTTTTGAAAATAAGGAAAACTCAAAAGTTCCAAAACAGTACACTTACTTCATAGATGGTAAATTTAAATGTTAACACTTATATCAATAATTAAAGCAAATTAAATACTAAAAATATGAAAGGCTGATGACCAGCCTCTGAACTTATCACAATCACAAATTTAATATTATGAGTCAACAATAGAATGCTTTTCCTCTATGAATTAAAGACCTATCAATTGTTATATTCTATACCTGGAAATCAGTCAAGCATTTTTAAAAACAATTATGAGCTTTCGAAGTTCAACAAAAGGAAAATTTATCACTGAGGTCATAGTAATCTACAAAGCATTAGCAGCTCACTGCAAAAAAATACATCAAAAGAGTGTTTTATTCATGGAATGCAATAGGTTATCTTAAGGAAAACGTAGACTTTTGCAATATGGTTAGAGGTACTAAACAAATTCAAGTGGACCTCAAGGAACATTATGTATAAAGTATTTTTTCTTATGGAAAATAAAAGAACATGTCATCACAATAGTACAATGAATTATAATCTATACAGCTTCTGGTTCACAGTTTTTGCTTAGATATTGAGGATGAACTCTCAATGCATTACTTCCCTTTAGCTAATAATATAAACTGTTTTTGATATTTTATATTAAGGATACTATACTAAAAAAGAGAAAATATATTAATAAAGAAGTAGTTGAAAAATATGATGCTAGGAAAAAATGAGATCCCACTTCATCACAAAATAATCTTTACCTTTATAAAAATAAAAAATAAATGTATACACTATCATTCATGTACACATTACATTTATTTAAACTAAAAATTAAGAACAACATTTATTTGAATCAATTCTATCTGGGTTAGAGGTATTTAATTTTTTAAGACAAATAGATATTTTATTTAAAAAACAGAAAAATGTTCCTTTGGCAATTCTGATTGAACTGAGATTTTCTGGCTTTCTTTGAAATGTTTAACATAAACTTCTTTTCCTTTAAAAATGGTTTTAGAATTTCTCAACCATATTTTAATCTTATGAATTTCTAACAACTTTCAGAAACTTATGGAGTTCTAACAATTTGAAAATGTGTCATTTAAATTAAAATATTGAGGAAGTAGAAAAATTCAGATATTAAGCAATTTTGTTTTATAAGTTTTCATCTATGAAAATAATTTAGTATAAATGTTGAGCATAGGTGTATATGAAATGAATACTTATATAGCAGAATTATAAAATGATAGCAAAAAGATAAACTTTTTCTCATAAAAATACATAAATATATTTAAGAACTCCCAAATTAAATCAAGTATCTATATTCACTATGCAGTCTTTTCAACCCAGTAAATTCATTCTAAATGTGTGAGATTTTAACATTATAGCTCTGTTTAATAATGCTTCTAAGGGAAAATCTTATATATACTTGTACATATACAAACAAAAGTACCCAAGCACTATACAACCATCTTTTCTTCCCTTTCTGAATATTGAAATGTTTACAGTTGAAGAAAACAGGAAGATGAACAACAACAATGACAAATGAATTTGAAATTTGCTTTTTAGCTTTGTGATCATTGAAGATTAGGAGAGAAATAACCAGGACTCTGACTTATCCACCACTATTTATCCATATAAGGCAAAGGCAACCAAGAATAGGAGTGGGTGTTCACATTAGCAGTCATTCCAGACCAAGTGCTGCTGCAGCATTTTTTAGTTTGCTTAACTTCCCCACTCCCACCTTTTAACAGCCAAGTGACTGCCTCTTTTAAAAAAATACTGCTGAGTGGGTACATAAACCAGTCCTATTTGCCAACTGTAAAGGGTTCCCGCAAAGCTTGTGGGTATGTGTAAATTAATTCCATCATCTTTTTTTCTATAACCAAGAAGAGATGGGGGAAAAGAGACTCTCTTATATTTACTGTAGCCTGGCAATAGTAATATATGTGTGACATATTTTTACCCTTGAAACACAAAAGTACTTTAGAAATTAGCCAGTACTTTATTGAAGTTGACTGATGACTGATGGAAGGTTATAATATACTCTGCCTCATGCAGGCTGTAAGGAAACCTCTAGCCGAAAAATATATGGGAAATTCCTCTGTAACAAGAAAAGTTCTTTAGGCAAAGCTATAAATCCAACATGTGGACTCTAAAGTTTCGTGGAATTTTTATGATAGAAATGGTGCAGGATTTCAAATAAAGAAGAGAATCTTAATATTGATTTACTTAAATATTTTCAATTAAGTACATTTGTGTATTTTATATAGACATATATAAAATCTCACATATATACATATATATAGTTTTATATTGTTCACTACTTTGCTTTATTTTCACATTCAATTTCACTCTTTCATATTTCTCTCTCTCTTTGATTCTATGCCAGTAATATTTTTAAATCACTAAAGCCACTCAAGTTTAATAATTTATTAAGTATAGTTTCAATTTACCTCTCTTAAGTAATCATCAGAAAGCCTATTAAAATTTAAGATACAAATGGTATAAAAGAAGCATGACTGACTAAGAATATCACTATGCTGTGAGGTGAGATTTAGATTCTAGTCACAGTTCTGTTTTTTACTTTCAGGACCTTGAAGAAGTCACTAAATCTTTTTTATCCCAATTTTCCTAATTGGAAAATAGAAGGATTGAACCAAGTGATGTCTAAAATTCCTTCAGCCATCATTCTTTAAAATATTTAAGACATCCCTGAAAAACTTACACAGGGTAGACTATACAGAAAAATGTTTAGAGTCCAGATTATCTGACTGGCTGGCTGGCTCCAGGGAAATAACTATAATAAACATTCATCGTGGAGGCTGTCCAATTTTTTATCATTGAAATGGCTGGAGTAATTTTAACTTAGTAACATCTGTAAGGAAAAAAGGCTTCCCAAATTAACCAGGTAAAGAATATTTCTAGGAAAAGGACTTATGCAAGAACACGAACTGCTTTGAACACCATCAAATATTTTCAAAATAATGTACATGTGACTGTTATAATTTATTTGCTTTAGAGGAAGTCTCTCCGTGGGAAGGTTTTTGAAAACAAATTCAATTTCTTTAGTAGACACAGGTCATTCAGATTTTCTATTTCTTCTTGTGTCAGTTTTGGTATGCTATCTGTTTTCAAAAAACTAGACTACTTCCTCTTAAATGCAAATGACATGAAGTTATTTACATATTATTTTATTATTATTCTAATGTCTATAGGATATACAATTATGCCCTCTCTTTCATTCCTGATATTGGTAATTTGTGTTTTATCTCTTCTTTTTTAAAAACTGGTCTTAAAAAGAGCACATAAATTTTATTAATCTTTTCAAAGATTAATGTGCTTTGTTAATTTGATTTATTGTTTCCCTAATTTCTATTTCATTGCTTTCTGTTCTTATCTTTATAAAACCTGTTACATGTGCCCTTAAAAATAATGTATATTCTACATTATTGGATGTAGTCTTCTATAACTGTCATTTTTGGCAAATTAATTAATGGTTTGTTAAAATCTGCTATATGTAGAATTTTCATTTGATTCTTTTGTATAGCTTTTATTTCTGCACTGGGGATCTCCTGTTATTATGAACACCTTTTTTAAGTTTTGAACATTTATAGTAACTGCTTTAAAGCCATTATCTGCTAATTCCAACATCCATAGAAAGAGAAAAATCTTTTTTTCTTTCTATGTAAACAGATGAAGCAATTGAAAACTATGCAAGCTGTTACTTTAGGATGTACTTTCTTGAAGTCTTTTCTACACATGCACAATTCAGGAGTCAGCCCATAATTTTAGAAGAGTTTGTACACAGAATTGGGACTCCTCTCTCTGTGGTTTTCTCCTTTTATGAAATTTCCTAATCAACTTTTAGTCATTTTGGCAGCTCTAAACTCTGTCTTCTGACATTTCACACCATTAACACTGAGGTTTTCTGCCTAAGTTCTCACTATCTTACACTGCATGACGTTGGAAAAGCTAGATAAATGGGGATCTTACCCATTGCAGTTCCTTTCTTTCAAGAGTCAAATAGTTTCCCTCCAGTTTCTGTCCACATGCCATCACTCTCCAGTGCCTTCAAATATTCTTTTTTTAGCTTATAATCATTTATAATTAATAAATGAATGTATTCCCAGTGAATAAGAAAATACAAGTATAAAATCTGCCCTTTTCGAAACTTCATTGTTAACTTTCCACAATTGCTTCTTTCAATCTCACGCTCTAATCTCTCTCACAAAATCAATGTTTTCAAAACAGTTTATCAACAAAGTATATAAAGTAGCAAAGCAATCTAAGAGTTTTTAATAGAGTCATTGAAATGCATGCTTAACCCTAGTGAATTGTGGTACATAGTTTCTAACAAACAAAAAAAAATAGCTAAAACATATGCAGTGTCATTTACGGCATTGTCATTTACTGTCATTTACGGCATTTACTGTCATTTATGGCAAATTAAATGTTTCCACTGCTTTCTCCTAGATACTGAAAAGTAAAACTTCAGCTGGGTCTACTAACTGATTACTAAAACACTCAAAAAACTGTATTTTTCTCCTTTCCTCCGTCAAATTAAAAGGCCACATTGAAAAATATGTATTAAAACCTGAGCTTTCAACAACCTATACTTCCTTAAACCTAGTTATTAAAGTCAGCAATTACATTGATAACAACAAAAATGAGTGCATTAATTTACACTTTTCTATTATATAAAAGATATACCTGGGTTGTGATTTTGGTTCTGGCTTGATAGGTTGTCGCTCCTTTTTAATAAGGGTTTTAAAGGTTTTCTATAATAAGGAAAAGAAGAGTTGACATAAGTAGAAAAACAATGTTATCACCTATAAAATTTTAATTCCATTGACGTTCTGTTATATTATCAAAGGGAGAATCATTATAATATATATTATGAATCTGCACATTTATATACATTTTTTAGTATACTCAGAGGGGTATGACTGTTGAACCTCCTTCAGAACCTTTTAGCACCTAGGAATACAGTTCCTACTAGTTATTTTAATGAGCAAATATCCTTACAACTATATTATAGATCAGAATTTTATTTATTTATTTATTTATTTGTCCTCTGTCTTACAAAAGAGATTTAAGATGCCTTTTAATAAATACAGTACATATGCAAAAGGGAAATAAAATCCAGTGAAGGGGAAAATATGGGTAGAAAAATAATGCCAAATATGCTCTGATAATTTGTGATATTTGAAATTTGGCTCTCAAAAACCTAACTATTGAGGTGTTATGGACTGAACTGTGCTTCCCCTAAATCCATATGTCAAAGCCCTAATCCCTCAATGTGACTGTACTTGAAGATAAGGTTTTTAATGAAGTAACTATGGCTGAATGAGGTCAAAAGGGCGGGGCCTAATTCAGCAGGACTGATGACTTTATAAGACGAGGAAAAGATACCCAAGAAAAGGCCACGTGAGGACACAATAAGAAGATGGCCATCTTCAAGCCAAGGAGAGAAACATCAGGAGAAACCAACCCCACGGACACCTTAATCTTGGACTTCCAGCCCCCAGAACTGTAAGAAAATAAATTTATGTTGTTTAGTCTGCAGTATTTTCTTATGGTATCCCTAACACACTAAAACACACAGTAACAAATAAAACAGTAGTTCTAACATTCACAATGTCTGTAACAAAGCAAGCTTATTTTCAGTGAAAAATTGCTTCCATAGGTTTTTCAAATAAACCTGGCATAATATACCAGCTTCAACAGCATCACTTCCAACAATTTATGGATTTTTCTTATATAATCCTTCAATATTAGTCAAAGATAAGAAGAATAACTGAGGAAGATAATTCTACAAGACCCCAGAAAAACTGGGCCATTGCCTGTCTGGTCATTCAGTGTGGTCCAAATGTAAAATTGATAGCTAGAGGCACTGATGGCTTGCATATCTACTTTATAATCTTCCAGGACAATTTTTGTATAAAATAGCTTTTAAAAAATAGGGAAGAGGAATTTGAAGTAAACTTGATAAATGAGTAAAATGGTTAGAGGATTTTGAGTTGTTAGTGTTGTTGTCTCCCTCAGGCGCTCTAAGAAGTCAGTAACAAAAATTTATTGGTCAGTGATATATGGTGTGCTCATGATACCACAAGGAAAGTGATTATTTTAGTTTTGCATTTTAAGTTTCAAAGGTGTCATTGACAACTAAAGCCAAAAATGTCTCTTCTATAAACTCTCAAGAGATATAAAGAGCCAATGTAAAGATGAAACGTGGAAGAAAGTGTGTTTATCCTGCAAAAATACTCAGCATTGACATACACTGATTTCTAAAACATTTTAAACAAATCACAAATCTCTTTTACTGAGTTAAGCTTCATTCTGACTTATGCTGCCATCTCAGATGCAATCTTACTAGTAAGTGTTAATTTCATTTCATGGCATTCATTTCTTAAGAACTAACATTGACCTTTCTTCGGGAACACAACAATAACCCGGAAAATTGTTGTGCATCATCTCTCAATATTTGTTACATTTAGAATTCCCTGATCATGTTTCCTTTTTCAAAGTAAACAATAATCCTCAAGAATAATACTGTACTTTTTTAAATGTATGTACAACACGTAAATGATAATAAAGCAGGAAGCAGGACCTATATTTTAAATGTTACCCTCAAGATGTTCCGTGACACATTTTCATGGCTATAAAAATACTAATGGCCAGAAAAAAATTGTTAATCTTGATATTTCATACTTTTACACAAAACAATACACTTGGATTGGGACACACTGTCCTTCTGTGCTACTACTGTTTACACTTGCCAACTTAATTTTTTTTCAAGTCCTTCCTTCTTGGCCACACTAACTGAATTGGCACATTCTCCATAATAAGGGGTGGCAAATGTGAAGGCTGTTAAGTAAAACAATCTCAGACAAACATTCCTGAGGATTTCCTTTCTTTAGATGTCCTCTGTGATTCTATTTTCTCTCTTCCAACTTCACTGCCTTTGCAACCTCCATTGATGTTTTCTACCTAACATAATTAGCAATTGATTTTTTCTTTTTCTTTCCTTTTTTTTTTTTTTTTTTTTTTGCTTTCCTTTTTGAAAAGTAAATATCGCCTTTGTTATAAGGGGTCTGGTGTTTTTCTAAGTCTTAGTCTTCTACATACTTATATATTCACATCTCAAGTCTATTCTGCCTTGATGTTTCACCTCTATTTTCTCTTAAATTCTTTCTCTCTTCTTTACACAGCCACTACCTGCTTCTTTCAACTTCTTTTTTTATTATTATACTTTAAGTTCTGGGATACATGTACAGAACGTGCAGATTTGTTACATAGGTACACACATGCCACGGTGGTTTGCTGCACCCATCAATCCATCATCTGCATTAGGTTTTTCTCCTAATGCTATCCCTCCCCTAGCCCCTTGCCTGCCAACAGGCCCCAGTGTGTGATGTTCCCCTCCTTGTCTCCACGTGTTCTCATTGTTCAACTCCCACTTATGAGTGAGAACATGCGGTGTTTGGTTTTCTGTTCCTGTGTTGGTTTGCTGAGAATGATGGTTTGCAGCTTCATCCATGTCCCTGCAAAGAACATGAGCTCATCCTTTTTTATAGCTGCATAGTATTCCATGGTGTATATGTGCCACATTTTCTTTATCCAGTATATTATTGATGGGCATTTGGGTTGGTTCCAAGTCTTTGCTATTGGGAACAGTGCTGCAATAAACATATGTGTGCATGTGTCTTTACAGTAGAATGATTTATCATCCTTCTTTAAAAACCTGGTCTTCCCAGGCCAATGCATTTGGAGTGACACATTCTAAACACTTGGCTGAATATGTAAGTCATTTATTAAACTCCCCTGGAAAAATTTTCAAATTTTTGTAACAACCTAAATAGATGTATTGAAAACTACTTTTCATACTCCTTTTCCCCACATATTTTCTCAAATCCCACAGTTTAACTGGTACCAAGCTTCTGATAATTTACACAATATTTTTACACCTGAGGCTTCTTTCTAAAAAAGCACCTGTATAATTCATCAATTCCCTTCCTCTTTTCAAATATCATTGGATGATTTTTTCTTTTGACAATTCCTTCATGGTCTAATGATTAAATTCTTTCATTAATAAACCATAAACCTTTAGCCTTCAATTTTTGCATCTTAATTATAGATACATTTCATTTAACTCCTATTAGCATAAAATTATAAAATATGTAATTTATAATTGGCCTATTATGCCCCAACACTTACATCCAAATGTGGTTAAAGGTTTTTTTTTTTAATACTTTAAGTTCTAGGGTACATGTGCACAACGTGCAGGTTTGTTACATATGTATACATGTGCCATAATGGTGTGCTGCACCCATTAACTCGTCATTTAGCATTAGGTATATCTCCTAATGCTATCCCTCCCCTCTCCTCCCACCCCACGACAGGCCCCGGTGTGTGATGTTCCCCACCCTGTGTCCAAGTGTTCTCATTGTTCAATTCCCACCTATGAGCACAAACATGCGGTGTTTGGTTTTCCATCCTTGCGATAGTTTGCTGAGAATGATGGTTTCCAGCTTCATCCATGTCCCTATAAAGGACATGAACTCATCCTTTTTTATGTCTGCATAGTATTCCATGGTGTATATGTGCCACATTTCCTTAATCCAGTCTATCACTGATGGACATTTGGGTTGGTTCCAAGTCTTTGCTATTGTGAATAGTGCCACAATAAACATACGTGTACATGTGTCTTCACAGCAGCATGATTTATAGTCCTTTGGGTATATACCCAGTAACGGGATGGCTGGGTCAAATGGTATTTCCAGTTCTAGATCTTTGAGGAATCGCCACACATTGTCTTCCACAATGGTTGAGTTAGTTTACAGTCCCACCAACAGTGTAAAAGTGTTCCTATTTCTCCACATCCTCTCCAGCACCTGCTGTTTCCTGACATTTTAATGACCGCCATTCTAACTGGTGTCAGATGGTATCTCATTGTGGTTTTGATATGCATTTCTCTGATGGCCAGTGATGATGAGCATTTTTTCATATACCTGTTGGCTGCATAAATGTCTTCTTTTGAGAAGTGTCTGTTCATATCCTTCACCCACTTTTTGATGGGGTTGTTTGATTTTTTTTCTTGTAAATTTGTTTAAGTTCTTTGTAAATTATGGATATTAGCCCTTTGTCAGATGGGTAGATTGCAAAACTTTTCTCCCATTCTGTAGGTTGTCTGTTCACTCTGATGGTAGTTTCTTCTGCTGTGCAGAAGCTCTTTAGTTTAATTAGATCCCATTTGTCAATTTTGGCTTTTGTTGCCATTGCTTTTGGTGTTTTAGACATGAAGTCCTTGCCCATGCCTATGTCCTGAATGGTATTGCCTAGGTTTTCTTCTAGGGTTTTTATGGTTTTAGGTCTAACATTTAAGTCTTTAATCCATCTTGAATTAATTTTTGTATAAGGTGTAAGGAAGGGATCCAGTTTCAGCTTTCTACATAGGCTAGCCAGTTTTCCCAGCACCATTTATTAAATAGGGAATCCTTTCCCCATTTCTTGTTTTTGTCAGGTTTGTCAAAGATCAGATGGTTGTAGATGGGTGGTATTATTTCTGAGGGCCCTGTTCTGTTCCATTGGTCTATATCTCTGTTTTGGTACCAGTACCATGCTGTTTTGGTTACTGTAGCCTTGTAGTATAGTTTGAAGTCAGGTAGTGTGATGCCTCCAGCTTTGTTCTTTTGGCTTAGGATTGTCTTGGCTATGTGGGCTCTTTTTTGGTTGCATATGAACTTTAAAATAGTTTTTTCCAATTCTTTGAAGAAAGTCATTGGTAGCTTGATGGGGATGGCATTGAATCTATAAATTACCTTGGGCAGTATGGCCATTTTCACGATATTGGTTCTTCCTATCCATGAGCATGGCATGTTCTTGAATTTGTTTGTGTCCTCTTTTATTTCGTTGAGCAGTGGTTTGTAGTTCTCCTTGAAGAGGTCCTTCATATCCCTTGTAATTGGATTCCTAGGTATTTTATTCTCTTTGAAGCAATTGTGAATGGGAGTTCACTCACGATTTGGCTCTCTGTTTGTCTGTTATTGGTGTATAGGAATGCTTGTGATTTTTGCACATTGATTTTGTATCCTGAGACTTTGCTGAAGTTGCCTACCAGCTTAAGGAGATTTTGGGCTGAGATGATGGGGTTTTCTAAATATACAATCATATCATCTGCAAACAGGGACAATTTGCCTTTCTCTTTTCCTAATTGAATACCCTTTATTTCTTTATCCTGCCTGATTGCCCTGGCCAGAACTTCCAACACTATGTTGAATAAGAGTGGTGAGAGAGGGCATCCCTGTCTTGTGCCAGTTTTCAAAGGGAATGCTTCCAGTTTTTGCCCATTCAGTATGATATTGGCTGTGGGTTTGTCATACATAGCTCTTATTATTTTGAGATATGTCCCATCAATACCTAGTTTATTGAGAGTTTTTAGCATGAAGCGTTGTTGAATTTTGTCGATGGCCTTTTCTGCATCTACTGAGATCATCATGTGGTTTTTGTCTTTGGTTCTGTTTATAGGATGGATTATGTTTATTGACTTGCATATGTTGAACCAGCCTTGCATCCCAAGGATGAAGCCCAGTTGATCATGGTGGATAAGCTTTTTGATGTGCTGCTGGATTCGGTTTTTCAGTATTTTATTGAGGATCTTTGCATCGATGTTCATCAGAGACATTGGTCTAAAATTCTCTTTTTTTGTTGTGTCTCTGCCAGGCTTTGGTATCAGGATGATGCTGGCCTCATCAAATGAGTTAGGGAGGATTCCCTCTTTTTCTATTGATTGGAATCGTTTCAGAAGGAATGGTACCAGCTCCTCCTTGTACCTCTGGTAGAATTTGGCTGTGAATCCATCCGGTCCCGGACTATTTTTGATTGGTAGGCTATTAATTATTGCCTCAATTTCAGAGCCTGTTATTGGTCTATTCAGGGATTCAACTTCTTCCTGGTTTAGTCTTGGGAGGGTGTATGTGTCGAGGAATTTATCCATTTCTTCTCGATTTTCTAGTTCATTTGCATAGGGGTGTTTATAGTATTCTCTGATGGCAGTCTGTATTTCTATGGGATCAGTGGTGATATCTCCTTTATCATTTTTATTGCATCTACTTTATTCTTCTCTCTTTTCTTCTTTATTAGTCTTGCTAGCGGTCTATCAATTTTGTTGATCTTTTCAAAAAACCAGCTCCTGGATTCATTGATTTTTTGAAGGGCTTTTGTGTCTCTACCTCCTTCAGTTCTGCTCTGATCTTAGTTATTTCTTGCCTTCTGCTAGCTTTTGAATGTGTTTGCTCTTGCTTCTCTAGTTCTTTTAACTGTGATGTTGGGGTGTCAATTTTAGATCTTTCCTGCTTTCCCTTGTGGGCATTTAGTGCTATAAATTTCCCTCTACAAACTGCTTTAAATGTGTCCCAGAGATTCTGGTATGTTGTGTCTTTGTTCTCATTAGTTTCAAAGAACATCTTTATTTCTGCCTTCATTTCATTATGTACCCAGTAGTCATTCAGGAGCAGGTTGTTCAGTTGCCATGTAGTTGAGCGGTTTTGAGTGAGTTTCTTAATCCTGAGTTCTAGTTTGATTGTACTGTGGTCTGAGAGACAGTTTGTTGTAATTTCTGTTCTTTTACATTTGCTGAGGAGTGCTTTACTTCCAACTATGTGGTCAATTTTGGAATAAGTGTGATGTCATGCTGAGAAGAATGTATATTCTGTTGATTTGGGGTGGAGAGTTCTGTAGATGTCTATTAGGTCCACTTGGTGCAGAGCTGAGTTCAATTTCTGGATATCCTTGTTAACTTTCTGTCTCGTTGATCTGTCTAATGTTGACAGTGGGGTGTTAAAGTCTCCCATTATTATTATGTGGGAGTCTAAGTTTCTTTTAGGTCTCTAAGGACTTGCTTTATGAATCTGGGTGCTCTTGTATTGGATGCATATATATTTAGGATAGTTAGCTCTTCTTGTTGAATTGATCCCTTTACCATTATGTAATGGCCCTCTTTGTCTCTTTTGATCTTTGTTGGTTTAAAGTCTGTTTTATCAGAGACTAGGATTGCAACCCCTGCTTTTTTTTGTTTTCCATTTGCTTGGTAGATCTTCCTCCATCCCTTTATTTTTTAAGTAGGAAGGGATTTTCTCGGTTTTAAACAACCTTGTGACCCTACCAGAAACATTAATAAACACATCACTCACATAATACGAAATGTTTGTTTAAATAGGTACTGTGAAGAGAAAATTATTAATTGCAAATACATATAAAATTACAAATTATATATTAAAACATGTGAAGTAAACTGAAGAGTTTTTTTCTGCCAGGCTGGGCTATTAACACTAGCATTTGCCCTGAAGAAGTCAGTCATGTCCCTAGCGCCTTCTGTGAAATAGCAGTGGGCTGCATTCTTTATGCTGCTACTAATACGATTTAAACAGAAAAAATGTCAATCACTTGCACACATGCAGAATCAGGAGGTACCAAACACATCTTTCTGAGATTTTTCACAAGCCAATCTCTTTACATTCTTGAATTTGAGAGCTTCCAGGAATGCAAACAAACCACAGGATGGTTTAAAAGCCATATAACCACCCATGGGAGTTATGCAAAATCTTCTCATGGAGCCAGACCAGCCTCCACTTTGGAAGGTGGTCTTAAGTGTAGTATTCCCTTTATTTACATTTCTTTACAGAGGTGAAGGTATCCTAAAGATAATGCTGGTCACTTTGTAATAGCCATGGCTTCAAAAAGCCATTCAACATTCAGATTAGGAAAGACTGGAGAAGATGACACAGAAAAATACATGTTGCTTATCTACCAGTCACTAGAGAAAATTTCTTTAACCTTCACAAAAAATTAAAACCACAGAAATTTAATCATTTATGTAGACATTTAAGCTAAGTGTAGGAGGCAATACACAGGCTGAAGAGAAGGAGGGAAATGGATAGGGAGCTTTGCATCCCAATATAAGCCCCTGTAAAGGTTGGAATCTATTTGAAAAAAGATACAAGGGGATTGCTGTTTCTAGGAATATGTTCATAGTAACAAATCTCAACATAATCCAACAATAAATTCTAAAAACATAAAAATAAAAGATGTTGTTTAATGCATGGCTGAGCTGATGGGAAAGTAATGGAATTCCATTCTGGCCAAACACTGAAATGTTGAAATTACTGTTTTATAATTTCAGAAGCTTGTCTTTGCCTTGGGGATGGTATGGCAATTTCTGACAGCTTAGAGTCTAGGTTTTAATGACCTGCATGCCCTGCAGTTGAGAGGTAAACATTGGAACCCAGAGTACCAAGGAAAGTCAAATCTAAGAAAAGTACTCATAAAACCCAAGTCTTGGAAGGGCAGTAGACTTAAGGCATAAACCAAGATTTTTTAAATGTCCTGTAGAAAGAGAGAGACTGTGAGACCACATACACACTGTGGCCTTGGCTCTGAGTGAAGAGATAAAATTCCTAGAAGTTTTCTAGGAATTTCTAATGACAATATACCATTTACCTAGATTTAGAGGTTCAATTCAGATTACTGTAATGCCGTACAAATCTGGGCCCCCACCAAAAAAGTTTGAAAATTTAGAATAAAAGTTGTCTCACCTTAGTAGTGCCCTAAAGCACTGGGTAAAAGCAATTTTATCAATCATTTTTAGATTGCAGTTTAACCCACACTTCTAAGAATTCTCACAATAAAATACCAAGAAAAATTAGCTCAAAATCAGGAAATTCAGTAAACATGAGAAAGCAGCAATCAAGGAATCAGAACCTACATATTCAGAACCTCAAAGACTAAATATACTGTAATTATTATGTAAAGACTATAAAATAAGAATGAAATTCCATTTCTACATGTTTAGAGAAATATATTGAAGAAACAAAAAAAATTATCAAAATTGACTGAGCAGACTTGGAAAGTAACAATCGACATTATAAAAATAAAACACATAATATTTAAAATTGGAAATTCAGTGAATAACAAAAGAAAATAATAGACACAGATAAAAAGAGAACTGATAATATAAACTATGAGGGATAAAAAAACACCTAGGTTGCAGCAGTGAGACAGAAAGAGATGGCAAATATTAAAAGAGGAAAAAGAGTAAGGACAATGACAATTGAATGACTCACATTTGTCTGATTAAAGATTTATAAAGTTTTTTCTTGTTGTTGTGCTTTTTTTCTTTGTTTTTTGTTTTTGAGATAGAGTCTCGCTCTGCTGCCCAGGCTGGAGTGCATTGGTATGATCTCAGCTCACTACAACCTCCACCTCCCAGGTTCAAGCAATTCTCCTGCCTCAGCCTCCCGAGTAGCTGGGATTACAGGCCCA
The DNA here is from genome assembly GCF_000001405.40 of Homo sapiens. Taxonomy (NCBI): domain Eukaryota; kingdom Metazoa; phylum Chordata; class Mammalia; order Primates; family Hominidae; genus Homo; species Homo sapiens. The sequence continues at coordinate 149,597,539 of NC_000004.12, forward strand.
CGCCACCATGGCCAGCTAATTTTTGTATTTTTAGTAGAGATGGGGTTTTGCCATGTTAGCCAAGCTGGTCTCTAACTCGTGACCTCAAATGATCTGCCTGCCTCAGCCTCCCAAAGTGCTAGGATTACAGGTGTGAGCCACTGCACTAGACCTAGAGATTCATAAAATTTTAATTAGAGTTTTATACAGAAATTATAGAAGACAGACAGTATTTGAAAATATAATGGCAGAGTTTTGTGTTTGGGGTTTTTGTTCTCAGAATTACTGAAAGACACTGATTTTCAGATATAAGAAGCCCAACAAAAATGGAGAATAGTTCAAAATAAACTACACTTACACACCTCATAACAACAAAATAAACTACACTTACACACCTCATGACAAAAAAAAAGTTCTTAGAAATAGAGTACATAGACATATTACCTACAAAAGAGAGACAACTTGACAAACATCTTTTTTTACCCCCAGCAACAATGGTAGCCAGAAGACAGAAGAATGATAACTTCAAAATGCTAAGAAAGTATGGTTGAGAGGAAGAAAAAATACATTATCAATTGAAGTATTTTGCCAACTGACCCTTACTAATGGCACTTCTAAAGGATGTAGTTCAAGAAGGAAAATTATCCAAGAGGTCTGTGATGCTAGATGTAATGGCAAATAAAATAATTGGGAAGCATATAGATAAACTTTAACAAACAACGACACAATGAAACAAAATAATTGTGTCTAATTTTTGAGGTTTTAAAAAAGAAAGAACTAAACTCTAGAAGTTAAGTCAATCTACCATCGTTGTGTGGAATAAGAAAGTAGGGAGTTTAAGGTAAAATACATTAAAATCTACAGATTAACCATTTATTAAAAAATAAAAACAAAAATATAAATGCCAAGCTAGCAGAAATGAAAGATAGCACAAGAGGATACTTCAAAAAATAAGAGAATTATTTTTATTTCTTCTTCTTGGGCAAATAACAAGTACAAAATGGAAAGAACAAATAAAGGGCAAAAAATGAAATGAAAGAAATGCATTTAAATACATTTTTTAAAATACAACCATGAGATGTTCACAAAGGAGAAATAAATAATTGCCCAGAAACATACAAAAATTCTCAACTTTATTTGTCATTAGGAAAATGTAAATTAAAATCACAAAGAAATATAATTTCATAAGTGCCAAATTGGCAAAGGTTAAAACTTTGACAGTATTAATTGTTTCCAAGTATATGAAGCAATGGAGACTCTCATAAACTGCTTCTGGAAGTGGAAAGCTGTTTGCTATTGCCTGGAAAAGTTGAACCTATGCTCACTTGACAGCACAGCCATTCCATGGTTAGGGATTATAGGAGTTGGTGGAGTAAATAGAGGAGCTGCTTATAGCTAGTGGCAATCAATTATTCAGGTAATCAATAATCAGTTATAGAGCTCCCACTGCACTGACCTTGCCCATCTGCCCCCAAGACTGGATGGCATATATATATATAATATGACATCCCAGATGCAACAGAATGCAGGTTCATATTGATGTTAGGAGTGCTTGCCCTAGAGAAACTGACACCTATGCTTCGGGAGACATATAAAAGAATGCTTGTAGCAGGTTTTTTCACAATAAGAAATAACTTTTTTAAAAGCAAAATATCTCTCAGCTATAGAAAGGATAAATAAATTATAGTATATTTATTCAATGGGATGTTGTGCATTGATGGAAATGAATGAACCATGGGATTATACAACCACATCAATAAAGATGAATGGATCACAAAAATACATTGTTGAGCAAAAAAGAGAGTGAAGAAATTATAATTACATTTACACAAAGTTATAAACAAGCAAAAGTAAACAAGACACTAACTAGGAATATGTGTACATGTGCTAAAATTGTATGGAAATGTAAGAGAATCATTAACATAAAATTAAGGAGATGTTTCCTCAGGATATGAAGAGAAGGAAAAAGACAAACAATGTTCTACCCCTTAAGCTTTGTGGGTCTTTTTTTTTGAGTATTATTCCTTCACACACATGCAGGTATACATATATATACTCTTAAATGATTGACATATAAAACAATAGAAAAATTTTAATAAAATTGTGGAAATATTCCTTGAGCTTAAATTGAGCATATCACCCTGTGGTAATACGTTTGGCAGATATATGACAACTTCCTATAAGGTTATGTGGATCCAAATTTCTCCTGTGGTTTGTGTATGCTTTGGAAACTCTAAGATTGAAGAATGCCAAGCAATGAACAGCTGCTGCCAGGTGTTAATTACTTTATTCTGAAGTTTTAAATTGTACAAGTCTGTAATACTTGTTACTAATTTTTTATTGGCTGGAATTAAAACTTTATATCTAAAAGGCCAGATTGAAGAAATGAATTTCCATTTTATAATTTGGGGGCATTTTAATATACTTGTGTTCATATTGATGTTGAAGTTGATACTTAAAACTATGCAAGTTATTTGCTTTTGAACATGATTCCCACCTTTGGATTTTAAGGGAGCCCCCTGAGTAGTTAATTTTTACTAAACAATTCAGTTATAAATTGGACAGTATTTTTAAAAATCGAATTAAATCCTTTTTACTTGTGTATTTATTGAGGACTAATTTGAATGTAAATCCATTCTAAATGATGAGTTCTGCTATTATTATGAGATTTATATTCTACGTGGCAGGTCTGGAGCTGCATCACAGAGCTAATAAAAAATTGTTATATCTAACAATTAGAGTCTGCCTTGTGCTTTATGTGTATTATCTTCAATCTTCACCAAGACTCTGCAAAGCAGATGTTTTATTTCCACTTTTCCTGAGGAAACTGAAAAATTTAGTATCCTTCCCTTGATTCCATAAGTAAGAGATGGATAGGATTCAAATTCAATATACCAAAATTCAGAAAGTTAAATTGGGGATACAGGCGGGAAGTTTTTAATCTATGAAAATAGAATACAGTGAAAAAAGATAATGATGGAGTTCACATTAGATTTTTAATTACTTAGCCATCAGCAATTTTGTCTTCTACATTGTTTATTCCTTTAGAAAAGATCCAGTGATTTTCTAGGGAGTCTCTGGGAATTAATCTTAATGGGATTTACAGCTGCCTATCAAAGGCACTGGGGTCAAAGGCTGCCCTAGCCTCCCAATTACAACTTGACTATCACTCCTTGTTTGGAGGACTCTGATGGAGAATTATCTAAAAGAATGATTCTCAAACTTCAATGTGCTTATAAATCACCACGGATCTGATTCCTAGAGACTCAGGATATGCTTACATAAATATATCAGTTTGTTGAAACTGTCCAGATTAATCCATCTGGGTGAAAGCTCTATTATCCAAATACCTAGAAAATTTTTTCAGGACAATTTTGACATCAACTGTGGTCCTATTTCATTATTTGAGAATGTATTTCTAATATCTTTGATTGGGTATTATCTCATTCCTCAACTTTCACAGAGAAATGGCATTCCTACCCCACACAATGACTAAATTCATAGAATTTCTGCACTTCAGGTATTTATCAGGAAAAAAATTACCTCGTACACATTGTCACTACTTATAAAAAGCTCACTTAATGTGAATAATTTATGGAGAATCTTTTAAAACAGTGTTTCTCAAACTTTAAAGTGCTTATAAATCACTACAGATCTTCTGATTCAATAGATCGGGCTGGGACCTAAGATTAGAAGATTAGAATCTTTCTAACAAATTCCTAGGTGATAACAATGCTACTGACCCATGGACAACACATAGAGTAGACAGGGCCAAAAATACATTCCTCCATTCCTCAAGATACCTTCAAATCTATCTCTGATTGAAACTAAGCCAGCATGTAGGTAAACTTAAACAATGACACAATGAAACAAAACAGTTGTGCTACCATTTAGGGAGAAACAGCAAGAAGAAAAGGCTGTACATGTTCAGTACAGATGCAATTTAAAAATATGTATATTTTTGATCTGCATTTGGTTGAATCCATAGATGCAGAACCTATGGATAAGGACGACCAACTGTTCTAGGATAATATTGTTTCCACACCACCTCCACAACAACCAACACCTCTAAGCCCTCCCATCCCTGAAAAAGTGCTTTCACCAAATTGTACTTCAGGCTTATAAATAAAATGAGGGTCAACATTTAGTATACTACTACATTTTATGAAAGTATATGTTTTAGTACATTACAGTCAACCCTTCATCTGGTTCTGCATCTGCAGATTCAACCAACATTGGATTAGAAATATGTTTTATATGGCCTGGCGCGGTGGCTCATGCCTGTAATCCCAGCACTTTGAGAGGCCAAGGCAGGCAGATCCCAAGATCGAGACCATCCTGGCTAACACGGTGAAACCCCGTCTCTACTAAAAATACAAAAACAAAATTAGTCAGGCGTGGTGGCTGTCGCCTGTAGTCTGAGCTACTTGGGAGGCTGAGGCGGGAGAATGGCGTGAACCCGGGAGGCGGAGCTTACAGTGAGCCAAGATTGTGCCACTGCGCTCCAGCCTGGGCGACAAAAAAAAAAAAAAAAAAAAGAAAAAATATGCTTTTTACTAAACAACGAGAAATTAGAATACATCAATAAAAATATACAAGGAAAAAACAATACAGTATAAAAACTATTTACATGCTATTTACATCATATTATGTATTATAAGTAAGCTAGAGATGATGTAAAGTATAGGGGAGGGCTTGTACAGATTATACAAAAAATAGTATGCCACTTTACATAAGGAATTTGAACATTACTGGAATTTGGTATCTGCTGAATATCAATTCAGAACCTCGAATACTAATTTGGATACTGGAACCAATCCCCTATGCATATAGTGAGATAACTGTATTCATTACATTTATTTCATAGTACCCTCTTTATTATCATCTACATGACACATATTTCTGGTTTGTTTGCGTTTATTTTATGGAAACACTCTGAATCAAGTGACCAAAAACTTACCCTCTTTTATTAATTGCTAAAATGTCCACGGCCAAATTTATGGCCTTCTTATTACAAACATCTAATATACCAAATTCTGAATCTGTATACTTACCTAAATCTTAATTTCTTATTTTCTATTTTCTTTTCCATAACCCCTGATGTCTTCATTTATGTAATATTTCATGTTGTATAGATTTTTATAAGGTATCATAAATTATTCATGAAATAATGTAATAAATTTTTAAATAACTTAATAAAGTTAATAATAGCTATAATATAGTAAGTCCTTACTATAACCCACTAATACCATGCTAAGCCCTTTTCATATATGATTATCTATTTTTTGTTGATTATCAGTTTGTCCTTTTTTATGCACTCTTGTTTTGGAATAGAAGAAGCAATAAAAATCCAAAAAATTCAAAACCAACACTATTTAGAGGGCAATTTAACCATATATAACAAAATACAAAGGAAAAAGGTAGGAGTAGGAGAGGTACCAAAAATTCCACTGCAAGGAATTTATTGTAAAAAATTAAATCTACAATAACTTAACTACAAATATAGTGTACTACATTTTGCCAAAGCTCTGTTCAATTGCCAAATAACCAAAAAACAAGTTATTTCCATAAATAGGATATTGCTGTCATTTATTTCATGGTAAGAAATATATTAATCTATATAGAAAGGTTAATTTGAAAAAATAGTGGCCACTAAGTATTGTTATAGTAATTATGGTTGATTTTCTCTTTATTTTGCTCATCTGAGTTTTCTTCAAAATATAAGTATTGAAAGCATAATTTTAAAAAATCTTAACACATGATAAAAGACAAATGTTAAAAGGCAAAGGTTAAAAGTTATCTTACATGTTTGGTTCAAGAGTAAAACTGGAATCAGATTAGGAATCAATCACTGAGGACTCAACTGTCTTAAAATAATCTTTCATCATTGATATGGCATCAATTGTTTTATAATTTCCTAACACAACAACTTGGTGTAGCCTCTTAATTACTACCAACCAGGTCTCACCATTTGTGACCTATTCTTCATTACTAGGATCCCCTAAGAGTCACAGTTTTGGGTTTGTGTCCCTATGATAGACTCAATCCTTCCATCTAGCCAATGCAACATGCCTTGCCTGTGGTAGAAAAAGTGGTCTTCTAATGAGTGTTAGAGGGTGTTAGAAAATAGAAAAAGAGAAATCAACAAGAAAACTCCCTGACAAAATGAGAATGGCCACTGATTTCAGAGAAGAGGAATAGTTAAAAAAAAAAAGTCAACTTCAGAACAAAGAAATTAAGGACTGTATGAGTCTTTGTTGTCAATATAGAAAAAAAAATTACAGCAAAATGTAGACAACATCCTAAATTCAGCATTTTTACCCTTTTTCCTCTTCTTAATATTATAGCTGTGTTTTTCACTGCTTTTGAACTATGTGTATATGCACACCTGTGACATGTGCGTCCTCATCTCCTTATCTTTCCTAGTCTCCTTCACCAACTACTGCCACCACTACTGTTATTATTAGTACTACTGCTGCAAGTCTACAATTCTAAGACTCTGAAATGTATAAAAAGCTCTGAAAACCAAAAAAGTTTTCATAATATATATAAAGGTAAAACTTAACACCTGATTTTGGGTGGCAAAACCTGACCTAAGCTGACCAACACAAGGCCTATATAGTGGCCTCTATCTACCACTTGATGAGAATATGCATATGCTACAAATATTAGCAAGTGTAATTACTGGTTTGATTGTGAATCCACTTATCTTCTTACCTTTCTAAAATTTTAAATTTTCAGAATTCTTACATATGTGTAGGCCCAAGAGTTTCAAATAAAGGATTATATATCTACACAACTAATATAAGCTGTAACTATTACCACTGCTGCTGCATGTGTTATAAAACTTTGCCTTTATGTAGCTCTATATTTGTTATTGCAGATCATTCTAACAGCTCATCAGCCTAAAGGTATATAACTAAAGATCCATCTATTGTTTAATGAATACATGACTTTTAAAACATTTTACCTGATCATTTAAAAAAAATACTGCAAATTTAAACCAACACAATATTAACAGCCACAATATCCAAAGCCTGTGGCCATAACCCTGGCTACTAGAACTTTCTAAGTCTTCTTATTATTACTACTGAAATTTTCATTTGTATTCAACATCCATGTCTGGTGTATTTTGTTTGATGAAAACAAGCTAATTAGTGCTAAACCTTCCCTAGTTCATAAATTTATTCCTAAGAACATTAAAAGGAAGTCAAGTGAGACATGTTCAGTAACAGATGTTTGCCTTATTTGGCTGCCTTTTTACAGTTTGTTCTCTTTCATTACTTTTTAAGAAATTTAGTTAATGTTCCCTTTACTAGAGAACAAGCATACCTAGCTTCCCAGGAGGTGATGGGGGGTGGGAGGAGGGATTCCCCAGGGCAGGCACAGTCTGTTCATTTTCTTAATCTGCTATCTGCTCAAATGCTCTCTATATTCAACTTTTCATTCTCCCATCCAGGTATTCACTTGTGTGATTTCACAATCACATATCTGTTTATCTCACCAAACAATGCCTATGTTGACACAACTGTACAACTAAAACTATTGTTAACAGTATTACTAATGTGTATGGGCCTAGTGCTCCCCAAATATCTTTCCCACATAAGGATATCTCAGAGCAAAAGGTCAATTATGATTGAGAATTGGGTTGAATATTTTGGCTTCTACAGTACAGAAAGAATGTGAAGTGGCCTCCAAAAGCAAAAAGTCAATGGCCTTTTATAATAAAGGAAACTGAAAATAGGTATTAAGAGTTTTCTCTAGAATATTAAATTCATTCAAAAATACACATTTAAAATTATACTACTTATTTACCTATACCTCCACATTTGAAAATCTTTTATGTGGGTGGGACTGTGATGTGGTTTAGGAAGTGGCATGTTGGTATATCTAAGTAACATTACAATTCACATCTTGCATTTGCCAAGAGTGCTTTCTTTCAAAACTCTATGAGAATAGTTGAATATACATCTTGATCTATTTACTGCTAAATAAATTTTGCATGTAGTACATTCTCCCAATAAGTATCTTCTAAGCTAGGACAATAGTAGGGTTATTATCTAAAAAGAAACATTAAGTAAAATAAAATAAATGATGGTTGTAAAAATACACTTTAGGCCCAGATAATATTGCTGCAAGAAAACATTACTATTAAAATATGGGCTTTTATTCTGGTGCTACACTGGTCTTGGAGGCAGTGAACTTGGGGTGTACATGACTCAATGTGACACCAGCTGTAGTAGCCAAGGGAATGCAATGCCTATATAACCCCTCCCCCAACTCCTGAGTCACTGAGTCAGTGAAGCTCAGAGAGAGATTTCTGCTTGGGGGAAGGCAAGGGAAGAGTACAGAGCACTTTGTCTTGCAACTTGAATACCAGCTCAGCCACAGTAAAATAAAGTACCAGAAAAATTCCTTGAAACCCCTGATTCCAGGCCTTTGCTCCTGGATGGTGTTTCTAAACCCACCCTCAGTCAGAAGGGAATCCACAGCTCTGATAGGACAGACCCAGTCTTGGCAAGATTCACCACCTTCTGACTAAAATGGCATTGAGCCTTGAATAAGCAAAAGAGGAAGCAAGGCAGTATTTGCTGTGGGCCTTGGGTGAAACCCAGTTCTGTGCTGGTTTGCAAGGCTTCAGCTGGGAACCTGCATAATGCCATTTGTGATGGCCATGGGAATACCAGCATCACCCCTCCCCCAGCTCCAGGCAGCCCAGTACAGAGAGAGACTCCTTCTGTTTGGAGGAAACAGAGGAAATACAGTGAGAGACTTTGCCTGGTAACCCAAGAGTTGCAATATTCCTGGGTTTACCAGGAACACTGGTGTACCATAGTGCTGAAACAGCCGCAGTGACCACAGCCTTAGGTCACAACACTCAGTCCCCTTTAAACTACTAGAAGGCCCTCTCAAGAAGTATGAATACAAACAAGCCCAAACCACAAAGGTTGAAATAAATACCTAATTCGTCAATGCACAGACATCAGTGAACATCCACAAGCATCAAGAACATCCAGGAAAACATGACCTCACCAAATTGACAAAATAAGGCACCAGTGATCAATCCTGGAGTGATGAAGATATGTGACCTTTTAGACAGGGAATTCAAACTAGCTGTCTTGAGGAAGCTCAATGAACTTCAAGATAACACATAGAAGGAATTTAGAATTCTATCAAATAAATTTAACAAAGAGATTAAAATAATTTTTTAAATCAAGCAGAAATTCTAGAGCTGAAAAATTCAATTGACAAACTGAAGAATGCACTAGAGTCCCTCAATGCAGAATTGCTCAAGCAGGACAAATAATTAGTGAACTCAAAGACAAGCTATTTCAAAGTACACAAAAGAGAAAAAAGAGAAAAAAATACAATGAAGCACACATACAACATCTAGCAAATAGTCTCAAAGGGGCAAATCTTAGAGTTACTGGCCTTAAAGAAGATATAGACACAGAGAGATCAGAGTAGAAAGTTTACTCAAAGAAATAATAACAGAGAACTTTCCAAATCCAGAGAAAAATATTAATATCCATGTACAAGAAGCTCAAAGAATACCAAGTGGATTCAACCCAAGTAAGACTACCACAAGGCATATAATAATCAAAGTCTTACAGGTCAAGGATAAAGAAATGACCCTAAATCAGTAAAAGAAAAAAAAAGCAAATCACATATAAAGGAGCTCTGACAAGTCTGACAATAGGTTTCTGAGGCTAGGAGGGAGTAGGATAACATTTTCAAAGTGCTGAAGGAAAAGCACAACTAGAATGTTATACCCTGTAAAATTATCCTTCAAATACAAATAAAGACTTTCCCAAACAAACAAAAGGTGAGAGATTTCACTGACACCAGACCTGTTTTCCAAGAAATTCTAAAGGGAGTTTGTTCAACCTGAGAAAAAAAAGAGGTTAGTGAGCAACAAGAAATCATCTTGAAGGTATACAACTCACTGCTAAAAGTACACAAACACAGAATACTCTAACAATGTAATTGCGATGTGTAAACCATTCATATTTTTAGTAGAAAAACTAAAAGACAAATATAACAAAAATAATAACTGCAACTTAAGAGATAAATAATATAAAAGATAAATAGAGATAACAAAAAGTCAAAAAATAGGAAGCATGAGGTTAAAATATAGAGTATTTTAGTTTTCTCTTTGTTTTCTTTGTAATAAGAGTTAAGTTGCCATCAGTTTAAAATAATTGATTGTAAGATGTTATTTGTAAACCTTGTGATAGCCACAAAACAAAAATCTATTTTAGATACGTAACATTTTAAGAAAAGAAACTAAAACATACTACCAAAGAAAATCACTTTTACACAAAGGAAGATGGATGGAAGGAAGGAAGGGAGGGAGGGAAAAAGGAGACAAATAACAAAATGGCAGTAGTAAGTCCTTACCAATGAATAATAACATTGAATGTAAATGAACTAAATTTTCCAATCAAAATACATAGAGCAGCTGAATGGATTTAAAAAACAAGAGCCAACCATATGGTGCCTACAAGAAAGTCACTTCACCTATAGACACACATAGACTTAAAATAAAGGAATGGAAAAAAAATACTCCATGCCAGTGGAAACCAAAAAAAGAGTAGGAATGGCTATACTTATCAGATAAAAGAGATTTCAAGACAAAAAGGAACAAAGAAGGTTATTATATAATGGTAGAGGAGACAATACAGCAAGAGAATATAACAATTTCCAAATTATATTCATCCAACACTGGAGCACCCAGAAATACAAAGCAAATTTTACCAGAACTAAAGACAAATATAGACTCCAATATAATCATAGCTGGGTACATCAACACTCCACTTTCAGCATTAGACAGATAATCTAGACAGAAAATCAATTAAGAAACATCAGACTTAATCTTCACTATAGACCAAATGAACTGAATAGATATTTATGGAATATTTTATTCAACAGCAGCAAAATACACATTCTTCTCCTCAACACATGGAATATTCTCAAGGATAAACTATATGTTATGCCACAAAACAAGTCTCAAAAAATTTAAAAACATTGAAATCATATGAAGTACCTTTTCTAACTACAATGGAATAAAATAGAAATCAATAACAAGAAGAACTTTGAAAATGGTAGAAACATATGGAACTTAATATATTCCCAAATGACTAGTGGGTCAATTAAAAAATTAAGAAACAAATTGAAAACTTTCTTGAAACAAATGAAAATGAAAACACAACATACCAAAACCTATGGGATACAGCCAAAGAAGCATTGAATGAAATTTATAGCAATAAATGCCTATATCAAAAAAGCAGAAAACAGTCAAATAACCTAATGATGCATCTTAAAGAACAAGAAAAGCAAGAACAAATCAAAGCCAAAATTAATAGAAGAGAAAAATATAAAGATCAGAGCAGACATAAATGAAATGAAAACAACACCATGAAGGATCAAAAACCAAAAAGATGGTATCTTAAAAGGACAACAAAATGAACAAAAGTTGAGCCAGACTGAAAAAACAAAGACAGAAGACCCAAATAAATAAAATGAGAGATGAAAAAGGAGATATTCCACTGATACCACAGAAATTCAAAGGATCATTAGAGATTATAATTAGCAACTATATGCTAATTAATTGGAAAGCCTATAAAATGGATAAACTCCTAGACACATGCAACCTACGAAGATTGAACCATGAAGAAATAAAAAACCTGAATAGACCACAACTAGTATTGAGATAGAAGCAGTAATTTAAAAATCTCCCATCAGAGAAAAGTCCAGGACCTGATGGCTTCACTGTTGTATTCTACCAAACATTTAAAGAACAGCTAATACTAATCATACTCAAACTATTTTTTTAAAAAATTGAGGAGAGAATACTTCCAAACTCATTCTACAAGGCCAGTATTATGCTGATACAAAAACCAGACAAAGCCAGAACAAAATCAAAGAAAACTACAGGCCAATATCTTGACCATAGATACAAAAATCCTCCAAAAATACTAGCAAACAAAATTCAATAATACATTAAAAGAATCATTCATCATGATTAAATGGGATTAACCCCAGGGATGCAAAGATGGCAAAACACACAGATTAATGAATGTGATACATCATACCAACAGAATGAAGGACAAAAATCATATGATTGTTTCAATAGATGCTGAGAAAGCATTTGACAAAATTCAGCATCCCTTTATGATAAAAACTCTCAACAAACTCGGTATAGGGGGAACATACCTCAACATAACAAAAGCCATAGAAGACAAACTCACAACCAATACCATTCTAAATGGAGAAAAACTGAAAGTCTTTCCTCTAATATCTGGGATAAGACAAGGATGTCCACTTTCACCACTTTTATTCAACATAGCACTATAAGTCTTAGACGGAGTATTTAACAAGAAAAATAAAGGGCATCAAAATTGAAAAGGAAAAAGTCAAATTATCCTAGTTTGCAGATTATATGATCACATATTTATAAAAACATAAGCACTCCACCAAAAAAATATTAGAACTGATAAACAAATTCAGCAAAATTGAAGAATATAAAATCAACTTACGAAAATCAGTAGCATGTTTATATGCCAACTGCAAACAATCTGAAAAAGAAACCAACAAAGTAATTCTATTTATAATAGCCACAAATAAAAACACCTAGGAATACACTTAACCAAAGAAGTAAAATATCTCTACAAGGAAAACTATAAAACATTGATGAAAGAAATTGAAGAGGACAAAAAAATGGAAGGGTATTCCAATGTTCATGAATTGGAAGAATCAATTTTGTTAAAATGTCTATACTACCCAAAGCAATCTACAAATTCAGTGTAAAACATATCAAAATACCAATGGCATTCTTCACAGAAATAAAAAATAATCCTAAAATTTATATGGAACTGCAAAAGACCCTGAATAGCCAAAGCAATCCTGAGTAAAAAGTACAAAGCTGGAGGCATTGCATTACCTGACTTCAAATTATACTATAAAGCTATGGTAACATAAACAGCCTGATAGTGGCATAAAAACAAATAGACCAGTGGAACAGAACAGAGAAACAAGAAGTAAATTCATGTATTTACAGTAAACTCATTTTCAACAAAGGTGCCAAGAACACGGCCTGGGAAAATAACAGTCTTCAATAAATGGTGCTGGGAAAACTGAACATCCATAGGCAGAAGAATGAAACTAGACCCCTATATCTCACCTTACACAAAACTCAAACGAAAATGAATTAAAGGCTTAAATATAAGACTCAAAACTATGAAAATACTAGAAGAAAACATTGGGTAAACACTCTAGGATGTAGGTCTTGGCAAAGATTTCTTGAATAAGACCTAAAAAGCACAGGAAGCCAAAGCAGAAATTAACAAATGGGATCATATTAAGTTAAAAAGCTGCTTCACAGCAAAGAAATCAACAAAGTAGAGACAGCCAACGAATGGGGGAAAATATTTGCAAATTACCACCTAACAAGTGATTAATAACCAAAATATATAAAAAGCTCAAACAACTCAATAGGAAAAGATAAATAATCTGATTTTAAAATAGGCAAAATATCTGAATAGACATTTCTCAGAAGAAGACATACAAACGGTCAAGTATATAAAAAATTGTCATCATCACTATTATCAGAGAAATACAAATCAAAACCACAGTAAGATATCATCTCAACCCAGTAAAAATGGCTTTTACTAAAAAAAATGGAATAATGGATGCTGGTGAGAATGCAGAGAAATGAAAAATGTAAATTACTATAGCCACTATGAAGAACAGTATGGAGGTTCCTCAAAAAACTAAAAATAGAACTACTACATGATTCAGCAACCCCACTGCTGGGTATATATCCAAAGGAAAGGAAATCAGTATGTCAAAGACGTAGCTGCACTTACATGTTTGTTGCACCACTATTCACAAATCCAAGATATAGTATCAACCTAAAAGTCCATCAACAAATGAATGAATAAAGAAAGTATGGTACATATACACAATAGAATATTATTCAGACATAAAAAGGATGAAATCCTGTCACTTGCAACAACATGAATGGAACTGGAGGACATTATGTAAAATGAAATAAGCCAGGCACAAAAGAATAAATATTGTACGTTCTCACTCACATATGGGAGCTAAAAAATAATTTTATCTCATGGAGAGAGGGAGTAAAATGATGGTTACCCAAGTCTGGGAAGAGTAATGGGGGTGGTGAGATAAAGAAGAGATGGTTAATGGGTACAAAAATATAGTTAGACAGACGGAATAAGATCTAGTGTTCAGTAGAACAATAGGGCAACTATGGTTAACTATGATTTATTGTATATTTCAAAATAACTTAAAAAGTGGAACTGGAATGTTCCTAACATAAAGAAATAATAAATACTTGAGATTTGATAATTATATGTTGTATCAAAATATCATATGTACCCCATGAAAATATACAACTATTACATATTTACAATAATTAACAATAATTTTATTATTTATAAAGAAAAGAGGTTTAATTGACTCACAGTTCTACATGGCTGGTGAGACCTCAAGAAATGTACAATCATGGTGGAAGGTGAAGGGAAGTAGGGCACATCTTACATGGGGGAAGGAGAGAGAGAGAGAGAGAGAGCAAAGGAGGAAGTACCACACACCTTCAAGCAATCAGATCTTGTGGAAATTCACTATCAAGGGGGATGTCCATTCCCATGACTCAATTACCTCCCACCAGGCCCTCCCCCAACATATGGGGATTATAATTTGAGATGAGATTTGGGTGAGGACCCAGAGCCAAACCATACTACTCTTTTGGCAATTATGATTGTAAAGCTCCAAAGCACATTCACGGCCATCTCTACCAAGTGAAATCACTTTATGTATGTCCAAAAATAACCTGAGCTTCATTTTATTTTTCCACCCATTTTCTCATTTACATATTTCTGAGGTCTTTTTTGTCACACTTTTAGACACAGATTTACAACCTTTGTGAAACAAGGTGAGTTATTAATATATAAATACATATGTATGTTCATTTTCAAAGGAGCAAGATGGATCACAAAGAAATGAAATGACTTGTACTAAAAGTAGCAAAGCAGGAACAATTCCTGTGCTCTAAATTGTACAATAAAATTGTTTTAAAAAACAAAAAAAGCGGGTTTTTTTGGTAACTATGTAACTGTAACTATGTAACTTTGTAAGCTATGTAACTGTAACTGTAAACTACATAAATTAATATAGTTTTTTCAAAGTAAATATCTATGTCATTTTGTCGAAGAGATTCATACATTAATATTTCATAGGAAAAGAAATATTCATTTCAAAATTAAAATTGGGAAGTTTAAAGATAATGTACAACCTTGGGCATCAATACTCCTTACAGTAGGAAGAAAACAAACACAAAACATAGATAAGAATTAACTACTGGAATGCTATTCAAAATGTCAAAAAAAATCATAGTCACTTACCTGTTAACTCAGGACCTGAGTTAATTCCAACCCCACTATAGAATTTCCCAAAAGTAATTTTATTTCTAAACAAAATGACCCCCCAAAATTAGGAAATCATATGAATAAAAAGAATTTTTAAATTTAGTAGTTCTGATGATTTGTGCTAATTCATAGAAATGTCAGAAAATCAAATGAGATAACCATCTTTTATCAAATGTAACCCATTAGAGGAGAAAATCATGAGTATGAAAATAATTACAGTACCTCCTCAAATGTTTTGGAGGAGAGAAGAAAAAGCGCAAAGAGAAGAAAATATGATGAGGGAGAAAAAAATGAGCAAATATGTTTTATATAATAAAAGTTAATTTACTATTTTTCATTATGTGATAAAATTTTTCAAGTGCATGCCCACAGTTTTCTGACAGTACAATTTGGTAAGGAATTTTAAAAAGATGTTGAAATTTCCAAGTCAGAAGAAGAAAATCTCCTTCGATTCTCCCCATATTCATTTTTACCAAAATGATTCAAGAAATTTCTCCAGAGAAAAATGAAAAATTTCGTATATTAAAATCTTGTCAATCCATTCTATGGTCAAAATTAACCTGATGTGAAGAACTTAAGTTATACTTGAAATTCCTGTTTTCACTTTTTTTTTTAATTATACTTTAAGTTTTAGGGTACATGTGCACAATGTGCAGGTTAGTTACATATGTATACATGTGCCATGTTGGTGTGCTGCACCCATTAACTCGTCATTTAACATTAGGTATATCTCCTAATGCTATCTCTCCCCGCTCCCCCCACCCCACAACAGGCCCCGGTGTGTGATGTTTCCCTTCCCGTGTCCATGTGTTCTCATTGTTCAATTCCCACCTATGAGTGAGAACATGCGGTGTTTGGTTTTTTGTCCTTGCAATAGTTTGCTGAGAATGATGGTTTCCAGCTTCATCCATGTCCCTACAAAGGACATGAACTCATCATTTTTTATGGCTACATAGCATTCCATGGTGTATATGTGCCACATTTTCTTAATCCAGCCTATCATTGTTGGACATTTGGGTTGGTTCCAAGTCTTTGAAACAATATGTTTCTACAAAACGAATGACCTGTTTTTATTTTTTTCATGACCTAAACCTATGTTTTTTAAAAAATATGACCAGCAATTCTTTTTTATTCTCCTCTCTCATGTAGGATGTGTTCCCCTTGGTGGGAGTGTTGAGGGTGGGGCTGCAAAGTCTAATGTCCAGAAGTCCATAATATGTTCTTTGAAAACAATTTTTAATGCAGCTTATTATGAGACTGAATTCTATTTGCTCGTAATCCTGTACTTCAAGCATCAAAGTTAGGCAAATTCTTTTCATTGAGAGTTAAGAAGCTATAAAGCGATTGAATGGCTTCCTCCTATTCTAGGGCATAAGCTCATTAAAGAGGTCTACATGGCACTTGATGATTATAGGTCCTTGCTTATCTCTTCAGCTTCATTTCTTGCCACCTTCCCTCTAGCATGCTGTGCTTTTGCCACACTGAATTTCTTTCAGTCTCTGAGATGAATCCTGTCTTTCCACCTTGGACAACCACAACTGTCCTTTCTGGGGCTGGAACAATTTTCCCGCTACCCCTTGGCCCTATCACCATTGCAAAGTGCATGTATTCATGCAGCACAGACATTCCCTTGCTTGTCAGCTCTTCCTCATTCTAGGGCATGGGTGTCCAGTTTTTTGGCTTCCCTGGGCAACATTGGAAGAAGAATTGCCTGGGGCCACACATAAAATACACTAACACTAACGATAGCTGGTAAGCTAAAAAGAAAAATCGCCAAAAAATCTGATAGTGTTTTAAGAAAGTTTACAAATTTGTAATGGACCTCATTTAAAGCCATCCTGGGCCACATGTGGCCCACAGGCTGCGAGCTGGACAAGCTTGTTCTAGGGCATCCACAAGTGGCAGAGCTCCTCCCAGTGACACCTTCCTGACTCTTAGGACCACTGCAACATAGTATGTTAGCCACTTGCTGAGGAGAGTCCTGTCATACTGACAGCTAATTGATTACAGTTATTTCACTCTCTTCTGTATTTCCAAATACTAACTAGAAATTACTTATACAAATTTCTGCCAATATTTGTTTCTATCCTCCTATTTTAAGAACACTATAGATAAGTGCATTGATTGTCACGTCTCAGAATTTTGATAAATACCAAGGTTAGATGTTGTTTTTTTTTCAGCTATGACTACAATCCCCTACATTATATGTTCCATGATTGCTTCATACATTATAAAGTTAGCAAACCTTTTAAAGAAGAGTTATGATGAGAAATTGCCTCAAGAAAGTTGGAGATGGTGATCTTTCCTATCAGACTGCAATGTAATATTACATTTTATGTTACACAAGGAATTACATTCCAGGTCTCACTCACCTTAGATAAATATTATCTTTCAGGATAATTATGGTTAAAAATATCTTAGTACTTCAGAGACCATAAAAAGTAATACTAGAAACTGTTTCTTCAGGATGCAGTTTTTAAAATTTTACATTAAAAAGTTTAGGGTCCCATGTGCCACTGATTAAAGTAACTGGAAATTCTAATATAATTCTAATACAATAAACATGTGGTTGCAGAAGTGAAACGTTTAAAGCATAAAGACATATAGCACTATTGATTTTTTTAATTAGAACTAAAAACATATGAGGATACAAAATACATTTTAAAAAGCACTTCAGGCTTAAAAAGGATAGTGTTCTTCTAGTCTAAAGAATGCATATCTACAATGACTTTATTTTAGCAAATTAAAATTTTGATAAGACTAACTAAGTTGTAAAGAGTTCTTCTAAGTAGAGTATGTTATATTTATCTCTCTTCCAATGAAATCAAAGACCAAGTTTCCTATGCCCTTGTTTCCACTCCTCTTTTAACAAGGCAGGCTTCTCTGTTTTGAGTTTTCCCAGTCACCTTTTGTCTTCTGAATTGATAAAACAATTTCACATCAAGATGACTTACAACTTCATATCCATTAGGATGTGAAGCACCAGAAAATATAAGAAAATGGGAGAAACTAGAACCCTTGTGCATTGCTGGTGGGAAGGTAAAATGGTACAGCCACTGTGGAAAATGATATGGTTATTCCTCAAAAAATTAAACAGAGAAATACATTATATTCTAGCATTACACTTCTGGGTACACACCCAGAAGAAGTAAAAGTAGAACTCAAACAATATCTGTACACCCATGTTCGTGGCAACATTATTCAAAATATCCAAAAGGTGGAAGCAACCCAAGTGTCCATTGATGGGAGAATGGATAAACAAAATGTAGTATATACATACAATGGAATATTATTCAGCCTAAGAAAGAAATTCTGACACATGATGCAATGTGTATGAACCTTGAAAACATGCTGAGATAAGCCAGCCACAAAAGAACAAATATTCTACGATTCTGTTTATGAGACACCTAGAGTAGTCAAATTAACGAAAACAGAAAGTAGAATGGTGGTTTCCAGGGAATCAAGGGAGAGACGTAGAGACAATTAGTGTTTACTATGTAGAGTTTCAGTTTGGGAAGATAAAAAAGCTCTGGAGATGGATAGTAATGATGGTTACACACAATGTGATTGTGATAAATGCCAAAGAACTATAAACTTAAAAATGGTTAAAATGGTAAAATATATGTTATGTATATTTTACAAAATATAAATTTATAAACAATAATTTTAAATTATTTTCATTATTTAAAATGAAAAAAGTCTACTTAGAACTTGGTGTTTACATGGACACAGGGAGGGGAACAACACACACAGGGCATGTTGGGCGGCAGCGGGGTGTGGGGAGGGGAGGGAGAGCATAAGGACAAATAGCTAATGCATTTGGGGCTTAAAACCTATGTTCCAGGTTGATAGGTGCAGCAAACCACCATGGCATACATATACCTATGTAACAAACCCAAACCTAGGTGCCAAGTTAATAGGTGCAGCAAACCACCATGGCACATGTATACCTATGTAACAAACCTACATGTTCTGCACATATATCCTGGAACTTTTTTTTTTTTTTTTGAGATGGGGTTTCACTCTTGTTGCCCAGGCTGGAGTACAATGGTGCAATCTCAGCACCACAATCTCTACCTCCTGGGTTCAAGGTATTCTCCTGCCTCAGCCTCCCGAGTAGCTGGGATTACAGGCATGTGCCACCACTCCTGGCTAATTTTGTATTTTTAGTAGAGACAGGGTTTCTCCATGTTGCTCAGGGTGGTCTTGAACTTTCAACCTCAGGTGATCCACCTGCCTCAGCCTCCCATAGTGCTGGAATTACTGGCATGAGCCACTGCACCCAGCCAATATCCTGGAACTTAAAGTAAACTAAAAAAACAAACAAAAAAAGAACTTGGTGTTTGATTCCTGTTATAGGTGTTGGTATTTTAAAAAATAAACGAAAGGGGAATCCTTACTAAAACATCCATTTAGACTTCCAGTGGTGAAAATTGAAAATGAACTGAGCAGCAAAAAACAAATTTGAGTGTTTGAATATCATTCTCTCATATTTATTCAGACACACCCCCAACCATGTAGTTGGTACACAAGGGTAAGATATAAACCTTTATTACCTCTAACTGGACAGGCAAAAAAGGTCACTTTATTGACCACCTGGTGTCCACTCCAGTACACCCCAAACTTTCAGTTTATAAACACCTAAAGTCTCCATCAAAAAAACTATTAGAACAGATAAATGAACTCAGTAAAGTTTCAGGATACAAAATCAATGTACAAAAATTAGCAGCATTTCAATATACCAATAATGATCAAGTTGGAAACCAAATCAATAACTCAATCCCATTTATAATAGCTACAGAAAAAAAAACACTGAGGAATACATTTAAGCTAGGGAGTGAAATATCTCAACAAGGACAACTAAAAAATTCTGATGAAAGAAATCATAGATGGCACAAACAAATGGAAAAGCATCCCAGTCTCATGAATTGGAAGGATAAAAATAATTTAAATGATCATACTGCCCAAGGCAATGTCTAGATTTAATACAATTCCTATCAAATTACCAATGTCATTCTTCACAGGATTAGAACAAATAATCCTAAAATTTATATGGAAGCAAAAAAGAGCCTGAATAGCCAAAGTAATCCTAAGCAAAAATGATAAAGCTAGAGGTATCACATTACCTGACTTCAAATTATACAAGACTATAATAATCAAAACAGCGTGACATTGGTTCAAAAATAGATACATACATCAATGGAAGAATAAATAACCCAGAAATAAAGTCACATTATTACAACCAAGTGATCTTTGACAAAGGCAATTAAAAAATACATTGGGAAAAGGACACCCTATTCAAGAAATGGTGCTGGTAAAATTGGAAAGCCATATGCAGAAGAATAAAACTGGACCCCTATCTCTCACTATGCACAAAAGTTAACTCAAGATGGATTAAAGACTTAAATGTAAGACCTGAAGCCATAAAAATCCTAGAAGAAAACCTAGGAAAAAGTCTTCTGGACATTGGCCTAGGCAAAGAATTTACAGATAAGCCCTCAAAAGGAAATGCAATGAAAACAAAAATGGACAAATGAGACCTCATTAAACTGAAAAGCTCCTGTACAAGATAATAATTAAAAGAATAAACAGACAACCTACAGAATGGGAGAAAATCCTTACAAACATGCATCTGGCAAAAGGTTAATATCCAGAATCTATTAGAAATGCAAACAAGAAAAAAAAATCCCATTAAAAAGTGGGCAAAGGACATAAGTGGACATTTTTCAAAAGAAGACACAAAAGCAGCCAACAAACATATGAAAAAATGCTCCACATCACTAATCGCCAAAGAAATGCAAATTAAAACCACAATGAAACACCATCTTACACATCACAGTGGCTATTGAAATGTCAAAAAACAGTAAATGTTGGTGAGGATGCAGAGAAAAGGGAACACTTATACAGTTAGTGGAAATATAAGTTAGTACACCCTCTATGGGAAACAGTCTGGAGATTTCTCAGAACTAAAAATAGAACTAACTTCAGTTCAGCAATTCAACTACTGGGTATTTACCCAAACAAATAGAAATCATTGTATACACACATTCATTATGTTTATGGCAGCACTGTTTACAATAACAAAGTCAGAATAAACGTAAATGTCCATCAATAGATGACTGGATTAAAAATGTGGGATGGATATATATATATATATATATATATACACCATGGAATACTACTCAGTCATATAAAAGAATGAAATCATGTATTTTGCAGCAATGTGGATGGAATTGGAGGCCATTATCCTAAGCGAAATGACTCCGAAGCAGAAAGTCAAAAACCACATGTTCTCATTCGTAAGTGGGAGCTAAACTATGGGTAGCGATGGTCATCCAATAGACACTGGAGATGCTAATAGGTGGGAGGATGGGAAAGGGGTGAGGGATGAAATGCTATCTATTGTGTACAATGTACATTATTCAGGTGGCAGCTACACTGGAAGCCCAGACTTCAGCACAATGTAACTATCCATGTAAAACAACTGCACTATCCCTAAATCTATAAAAACAAACATAATAAAAACATTAGAAATAAAAAAATTAGCTTTAGTAAATTTGACTCACAAGGAATTTAGCAACATATGCTAAATATGATATATTAATAACTTAAAAGTTTTGGTTTACAGAAAAAAATAAAAATCCAACATGTGTTATTTAAAATGACAGATTAAGAACTATTCAACAGGTAGATAAAAGAATTTGGTAAAATATATTTCAGTTGTCTAATGATGTTATGGACTAAATTGTGTCCCTTTGAAATTCATATGTAGAAGTTCAAACCTCCACTGTAACTTGATTTGGAAATAAGACCTTTAAGGAGGTAATTAAGATTAAATGAGGTCATAAGGGTAGGGTCCTAATCCAATATGACACCAGGGATGCATTAGTACAGAAGAAAGACAACATGGCCGGGCATGGTGGCTGACACCTGTAATCCCAGCACTTTGGGAGAGTAAGGTGGGCAGATCACCTAAGGTCAGGAATTTGAGACCAGCCTAACCAATATGGTGAAACCCCGTCTCTACTAAAAATACAAAAATTATCCAGGCATGGTGGCAAGCATCGGTAATCCCAGCTACTCAGAAGGCTGAGGCACAAGAATCACTTAAACCCGGCAGGTGGAGGTTGCGGTGAGCTGAGATCACACCATTACACTCTAGCCTGAGCAACAGAGAGAGACTCCGTCTCAAAAACAAAAAAAAAAGAAAAGAAGAAGAAGAAAGACAATGTGAGGACACAATGAGAAGGTAGCAGTCTGCAAGCCAAGGAAAAGGGTCTCAGGAGAAACCAACGCTGCCAGCAACTTTATCTTGGACTTCCAGCCTCCAGAACAGTAAGAAAATAAATTTTTGTTGTTTAATCCATCCAGTCTGTGGTATTTTGTAATAACAGCAAATGGCAAGTCCAGGAAAAAAAAATCAGTGATATGAAAAGAGAGAAAAAGATAAAGAAGATAAAGGACAGGACAGACATATTCACACACACAACAGAACATGTGGGAGATGTAAGAAACCCAGACATATTTACAGACACTGCGAAACACAATGTTGTAAAATAGCATTACGTGGCCTTTTAAGAAATTGTTGCTAAAGATGTCTGAATAACATGAGTTTCTTCTACTATTCACATGTATATATTAGGACTTGCTTTGAGAAATAAATGAATTTAAAGTACCAATTCTACTTTCAGATCACAAGTTCTCATGTCCTGGATTAGAGTCTTCATTCAGAAAACCATCAACATGTGGTCATAAAATTGCCCTTGGATTTTTTAATCCTTCCATTATCATGCCTTTAACAGATGTCTACATTCTACATTCTCCCCTTGCCTTCATTATGTTTTCTTGACAGTCTATGTACCATTACAAAAATAGTGGAGGTGCTAACACATTTGGAGCAAACCATGTGATGATCGCTTTAACCAATGCTCTTCAAATAAAAAATGACATGCATATTGTGGGATCGGGTGATCAGCAAGATTTACACAAGACACAAGAACAAAACTAAAGCAATGCTTCAGAAAAAATGAATTTCAGTGGAGAACTATCTTAGGACTGAAACAGGTCCATAGTAAAATCTCAAGTGCTTTCATCAAAATTAATGCAATAATTTACTGGAAAAATGGCAATTCAAATCTACATCCAGTTTTATAAATACTTACAGAATAATAATCCCGAAATATTGATGATGATTGAGAGAAACTAACTCGACGGGAGTCACAAGCCAAACGGAAAGACCTTGTCAGCACAAATCCTCTCCAGTCATAGAATGCTTTGTCTGTTAGAAATATCAATGCAGGTTAAAACAATATCTATCCAGGAAAAGTACACACTGATTATATTGCTTAATGTTGCAAAGAGTAAAGCAAATCATCTTTATGGCCTCACTATTCTGTATTAAAATCACATCTTGTCATCTAATCGTAGAGAAATGAAGACATGATAGGATTGCATAGAGAGAGGCTTCAATTAATTGGCTCCTTCATATGGTAAGGTTCTCGTGTTTTTATTGCACAGTGTGCCCATCAGAAAACTATAGGTTCATTCTCTTTACTATCTCCTCATGAAGAACATCAACTTCTTTTTTTTTAAAGGAGGCTTAAAGGAAAATCATGTTTGCGAATAGCACTTATAAAAATAAAAGGAAAACCTCTCTGTGTTACATACTTTAAAAGAAAATTCAGTATTTTATAAGGCACAAGTTTTGATATTGCAAAGTAAATTAAATTATTAAAAGTCTTTAAGGTAAATAGGTCGAAAGCACAAAAGGTTAGCCAGCATCACCACATATTTGTTCTGTCTCATGGCAGTTGGTACATAAGATTTCTACAGAAACCATTTTTCTTTAATCATAGGAAAGAGATTTAAGATTTATTTGTCCATTTTTTTCCTCAGAGATATTAATCATTTAAAAAGAAGGAAATTCAGTTCAATCCTGCCATCGAAATGAATCAAACTATTTTCATATTTCCAATTTTCCTTCATATATGTATATATATGTATATATGTGTATCTATGTAGTCTTTCCTGAAACTTTCAATTTAATAAAGTCATCCATGGACTGCTTAGTTTTACATAAATTTATAGAAAACTCAAGAAGTAATAAATTCTCTCACTTCATTGCTTCAATTTATTTACAGGATCATAATTTGAGTGGTCTATGGGGAGGCAATGAAGTAACATAAAATAATAAAAAGGTAATGTTATCTCAGAGACATTCTAATCAGTACATAAACATTCTGCCTCATTTTAACTTTATATATATTTCTTCCATTTCAGTCAAGAGTCTCTGCACTCTTTCAAAAAGGCAAAATCTCTAGAAGAGGCAACACAATCATATATTTCAATCACAATCCAATGTGAATCAGTGGAATTCTTTTTTATTTTTTTTTTGGAGACGTAGTCTCACTCTTTCCCCCAGGCTGGAGTGCAGTGGTGCGATCTCGGCTCACTGCAAGCTCTGCCTCCCAGGTTCACGCCGTTCTCCTGCCTCAGCCTCCTGAGTAGCTGGGACTACAGGCACCAGCCTCCACGCCCGGCTAATTTTTTGTATTTTTTAGTAGAGACGGGGTTTCACAGTGTTAGCCAGGATGGTCTCGAACTTAAAATTATTCAACGGAAGCAAAGGCCAATAACGAGTAGCTTGTAGAGAATCTGAGCATTTTAGTACCTAAGAAGAAGATAGCAAGGGAAAGGCCATGCCCTTTATATTTTCATTTGGCAGCTTTGTAAGACCAAGGGAGTATAAAAGAGTAACACAAGAGTTATTAAGATGTATACACCCTTACGTTTCTTATGAAGCCCTCTTAACGAATTCAAAGAATTCCCCAGCTCATGGGCATTATTCCTGACCTACCCACTCCCCTTAATGCACCATTACGTACAATAAGCAATATCTCATATTTTAGATAATCATGCTTCTCTTTCCAATCTCATTTTGAATTTATAAACTGTTCCAAGGCAAGGACTATAACTTACCTGGAATTGCTCTGTGTTTCTGATTCATTAGCAATGCGAATAAGGTAGCTATGTAAATACTGGTGAATAAGAAGGAGTATATTGAACATTCCCAACACAAAGAAATGACAAATGTCTGAGATGATAAATATATTAACTACCCTGATCTGATCACTATACATTATATGTATAAAAACATCACTCTGTACTCCCATGAATGTGTACACTTATTTGTTAATTTAAAAAATAAAATTAAATAAATAAATAAAATTCCTCTCTGATTAAAAAATGAATTGTCTGAAAAGGTTAAATCTTACAGGCAAAGAGATTATCTTCTTGATCATTGAAGAGTCCAACCCAATATATGAAACTAAAACCTATACAACTTATTTTTCCAATAGAGTCCAGAGCATTTTCAAATGTTTTATCTTGCTTACTCATAAAACAGACTCACAGAGTTGAAAACACCATGCATTATTTTCTCCCAGTATATAGGTATCATACTAGAAAATATAGCTATAACTTTTCCGCTTCAGGAAGCAGTAAAGCCTCCACTAAAATCCTCAAGGTAATCATTCACATACTGATGTATGCTAATGACTCCTCCTTAGAAGCCAGGCACAGAAGGTGACATGCAACAAATTCCAGTTTATTCCACAAAGTCAGTCGAAAGTTATAAGCTAATAGTTTGATGAAGACCAAAGTCATTAATCAGACTAAATCTTCACAAACCCTTCCTGGAGTCAACAATCTTCACAGATAATGACACATAGAAATAAAGGTTCTGAATCCCAGGTGTGTGTGTGTGTGTGTGTGTGTGTGTGTGTGTACACATGTGCACAAGAGTAGGCTGTATATTGATAGATGGAAAAGAAGTCTTGTCAGTAATCCCAGTTATCAGTCAGCAGGACAGAATAAAATATTGTAAGAGTAAACGAATCTGAGGAAAACGCAATATCAAGATTTGGAAAGAAACCAAAATGGTCACATCAGTTTAACAAGGAGTTAAAAAGTAGCTAGTGTTGAACATAAAAAAATTTGTTAAATAACTACTCATACTGATATCTGACTTTGTGTTTCTTCAATATTTTAGACTATCATCAAAAAAATATTAATTCATGTTAGTGTGCTGCCTTTCTGCATATCTAATTTGCATATTGAGACTTAAAAGTCTTTCACTTGCTTTGTATGCGCCATAAAACTGAATATAATGATGTGCCCCAAGTGTGTGTGTGTGTGTGTGTGTGCGCGCGCATGCATGTGCTCCTGGATTAGAACCCGATTTGGCATTGACTACAAGGCTAACCAACAAAACCATAAGAGTGAAAGGTCCCATAGAATCCAACTGAAATAAATACATAAAGAAACAGAAAATCCTAAGAAATGGGCTTTTAAAATTCTGACTTTTAGATATTTTTCACCAGACCATCTCCCCTCACTTTCTAGCATCATCTTGACGTTTATAATGGTAATCATTTTTCAATTTTATTTTCTGTTTTTATTCAAATTTATGTAGTTGACAATTAGCCCATTATTTACACAGGTGGGAGACATTTCCAAAACCTAATAAGTAGTTGTTATTTTATAAGCTTAAATTATACAAATGACTCACAGAAAACTGAAAAGATCGTATACGACAGGTGATAATGTCAGGGAATGAGAAACAAGGGAAAGAAAAGGGAAGGAAAGAAAAGTTCTTAGGTAGTTAAAACAATCCCCACATCTATAATTTTTGTAGTGACAAATATTATCTTAGTATCGCAAATGAATAGATTGGTTCAATTCACCTGGATATCAGCAAAAGACCCAAAGGCAATAGTAGTTCAACGTTTAAAAATATACTGTTTTGGTCAACTTAGAAACCAAATGCTCTTAAGAAATAGTCTGTATATCTGCCTTCCAGAGTAGAAGCAAGTTCAAATGAAAATGTATCTTTATTAGGATATGATAAAACCAAAGACATTACTGAGTTTAGTGGTCCCGTGTCCCTAGAGCCTCTTTTATGCCAAGCTCGTTCTGTTTCCCTTTTATCAATTCTCTCGTATCAATTAATTCTTTGAGTTAATTGCACATGCAGTTTTAATCTGTAGGTAATTACAAACAATTAATAGTTAGGAGACAGAATTAGCAGTTCCTAGTTTGATTATCTATATAATTAAAAGGGGTGGCAAACTAGAGTTGACAAATAGCATCTTAATCATTTGAATAATCAAACCCCAGAAGCTTGCTTGGGTGGCTGAATTCCATCTGTTACATTAGTTTAAATTTTAGAATTAATGACTGAAATGTCCATTTAAATCAATTCATATGTGTTGAATTTATAGTACAAAATGAACAAGGCCTTTACTCTAAAATTACTTAAACCACCTTCTTTTGTTTGTTTATAATAAGTTGTTTCCAAAAGGATTCAATGAAAACAAAGATTTGTAGAGGAGAAAAAGTAATATATTTCCCTCACCCATTGGAAGTGTTCATGGAGGAGACATCCCTATAACAAAGACTGATTAACAAGAGAAAAGTATAACAAGCTTGTTTATCAAAGTTTTGTGTAACATAGGAGGCTTCAGAAATGAAGACACAAAGACTCAGGGAGAACTGCATTTTTTATGTAGAAGTATGATTGGACAAAATGTGGTATGACCTTAGTAAACTAGGGGAAACTCAGCAAGGCTTATTTCTTCGGATTTTTCTTGGCTTCCAGATATGGGGCAGGACATTTGTCACAAGAGAGTCTTCAGGAGGGAAGGGAGGAAGTCGAGAGTGAAGTTCCCGGGTTTTATTGCTAGCTTTGGAGGAGAGGAATTCTAGTTTCTATGTCCAGCTTCTAGGGAGAAAAATCCAGAGAGGGCTTCCTGCTTCTACTGTCCTCTCAATTCTTGCAGCTTAAAATACTCAGCATACCAAGGCACCACATTTTTGGGGTATCGTGTTCTGAGTCCTGACAGATTCGATAGACTAAATTATGTACATCTAGTGAATGCCAGTTAATACTCATGGATACCATTTCTATGTTATAAAATATCTAAGAAATATGGATAATTCTTTTCATACTATGTTCTGTTTAATACTTTTTGTGCTGTGATGGTTAATAATGAGTGTCAACTTGACTGGATTGAAGGATACAAAGTATTGATGCTGGGTGTGTCTGTGAGGGTGTTGCCAAAAGAGATTAGCATTTGAGTCAGTGGGGTGGGAAAGGCAGACCCACCCTTAGCCTGGGTGGGCACAGTCTAATCAACTGCCAGCATAGCTAGAATATAAGCAGGCAGAAAAATATGAAAAGAGACACTGGCCTAGCCTCCCAGCCTACATCTTTCTCCCATGCTGGATGCTTCCTGCCCTCGAACATCAGACTCCAAATTCTTCAGTTTTGGAGCTCGCATTGGCTCTCCTTGCTCCTCAGCCTGCAGACAGCCTATTGTGGGACCTTTGTGGGATCTTGTGATTGTGTTAGTTATACTTAATAAACATATATATATATAAGTTTATAGCAAATAAGACATACTATTTTGCTATCTGAAGGAACCAGAAGTTTGTAGATAGCAAATACTAAGCAGCAAAACAAGCTTAAGGTAAGTTAGAAAATGTATGGGAACTTCATTCTGATTAGAAAAGAATGTGATATAGAACAGTAGCATCACTGTTGCATAACATCTTTCTGAATTGCCAAGTATTTGAACAAGTTTGGTAGATACTTTGAAGCTAATAGTAGATAAAAATTGTTCAAAAAAATAATGACTTCTGGTTCAATATGGTCTGTTACCTTTGGCTGTGAGGCAGCCCCTTTACAACTTCAATAAATACTATAATGATAAAGGAGAAGATGAAAATCTCAAGATCACAAAAAATAAATCTAACCATTTACCAATTTGCAATTGAGGAGAAAATTTAATTAGGATAATGGAAGTGAATTGAGGAAAGCAATCAGTGACTTTTACATAATAATATACTCACCCCTCCCTAATCTGAAAGATGGTAGAAAGATGCTTAATATCTCCCAAGGAAAAAAATACAGAAAAAAAAAGAACAAAAAATGTTTCTCTACAATGTAGGTGCTGCTTTAAAATAACTGATTCCCTTTTCCTACCTTCATCTACCACAATTCACTTAGACACTACAGCTCCAAGACAACAACTAGGAAAGAAAGCAGCCCTGGCTTCAGCAGCAGTATTTGATACAGCCCTATGGAAAGGAAAGAGTTCTGTGTGGAGGCTGGGGAGGGCAGGTATTGATAACAATGCATAATGGAGATTGTAATTTTTCATGAGGTAAATAGCTGAAAATAATAAGAATGAAGGTGTGGAATAGGAAAGTCTCCACCTCAGCAGAGCTCAACTTTTTGAGACAGGTGTCTGCAAGTTACTGGGAATTAGGCAGAGAACCAGGCATTGACACCTGATCATCAACTATAGAACTAGATTTTTCTCAGGGCTGAGAAAAATCCACATGTTCTTTCTATTTGTAATCGCTCACTGCATAGATCAATTTCTCCTTATCTGGGGCAAAGTAAATAAACTAGGGCCTATATTAATCATGGTAATACTTGTTAACACTTATTGAAGGCTCAAATTACTAAACAATTTACACACATTACCTGACCTATGCTGCAGAATAACCCTATGAGGCAGATGTTCCATTTAACAGAGGAGAAAACATATTATGTCCCTTGGTCAAGTTCAGAGGGTAAGAGGTTGTGTGAACCCAGGTCTATCTTGAAGCTTACCTGTGACTCTGACACAAGGGAAAAGGTCTCTGTGGTAGACTGTTCAGAAAGAGACCCATGTCCTAATCCCTGAAACCTATAAATGTTATTAGCTTATATGGCAAAAGAGACTTTGCAACTGTGATTAAATTAAGGATTCTGAAATGGGGAGGGAGATTATCCGGGATTGTCCTGGTGGGCACCACATGTAATCACAAGTGTCCTTACAAGAGAGGCAGAGGCAGACTTTACTACAGAAGAGAAGATATGATGAGGCAAAAAATAGAATGGAGTGATGTGAAAAAGGGCTCATAAGTCAAGGAATGCAGGTGGCCTCCAGAAGCTGGAAAAGGCAATGGAAACAGATTCTTCCCTAGCATCTCTGGAAGGAACTAGTCCTGCTGACAGCTTGACTTAATTCAGTGAAATTGATTTCAAACTTCTAGCCTCTACAAATATAAGAAAAAATTGGGGATTGTTTCAAGTTACCAGGTTTTCAGTAATTTGTTACAGCAGCCATAGGGAAACTAACACAGTCTATAATTCTAAAAATTCAGTAAAACTGTTTAAATCTAAAAATATTCTGCTAGACCCAGGGGAAAATTATAGAAAAGTGCTTGGCATTCTCACTATATTATAATAAGCCAACTCTTTGAAATAGAAGCCAAAACAATAAAGAAATAACTAAAAGTTTAACAATAATAATAATTGTAAGTCAAATAAAAATGAGAATTAGCATTTTTAAAAGGGAAGAAATACAAAGAAACCAAAAATGTAATGGCAGAATAAAAATGTACTTCAGAGTTAGTAGGAGTATAAGTGACAGCATGGAATATCAAATGACTGGATTTGGCAAGCACTCCTAGAATGCAGAAGAAAAGCATCAAAGATGAGAATTATAAGAGAGAAGATTATAGATTAAAGAGCACAAAAAATAAATATCCATCAAAGGAACCACACACATTACTGAAGATGAAACTAGAACAATCAGAAATGAAGAAAACATACTATGTAATAATTTCCTAAGCTGAACAAAAGATTTGAATCATCTGACTATTGGAGTTCACTGAATTATGGGGTAAGTTTATTAAAAGAGACTTGCATACAAGTATATTCGGCAAAATTACAGGAGTAAAGAAAACTTCAATGATAAGAATAAAGAAAATTTAATATGTATTCAAGAAGAAAAACATCTGCAAAGGTGTAAACTCCAGGTTATTCTCAAATTTCTTCTGTGAAACAGCAAAAGAATCAATAAATAATAGACCACCAACAGAATTTTCAGGAAAATGAAAAGTTAAATAAATTTTATAACCAAATTGCCTTCCATGTGTAAAGGCTAGGAAAAAACACCATTATCAAATACACCAATGCTCTGAAAATTTGCTCAGAAAACACTTAACTAAAGACTGAGGCATGAATCAATAAAAGAATTTAGAAACCACTGTGTAAGAGAACTAGCAGTTCTTACCCTCACCAATATACTCAGTTCTCATAGGATCAGGTGTAGTTACATGGATTCTATAGCTTGGTCTTAAAGTGTGGTCCTGCCTGGCTTTACCTCACAGTTTCTATTCTGCATATTCTACTTTCTTAGGAACTAAACCATTTTTTTCCCCTAGGGTATAAACTTGAACTCACTCACAGTTCAAATGGAATGAGCTTTCAAACTGAATCCTGTTCTATGATTATCCAAAGAAACAATAACCAGTTTGTTCTGTCATGCACTTGCAAAGACTAAACATTTTATTTGGCTTGAACATGTACCGAGAGACCCAATATAATGGCGATTTTGATTTTCTTATAACTTAAATATGAGTTTTCTCCATTTTAGCAATTCAAACTAAATCACCTGAATCATGACCTTGCCCTTCAGAAAGCTCTTCCTTATATCATGGGAACAGCCTCTGGGTGTTCCTATAAAGCTAGGTGACTTAACTAAGAGAAAAAAAAATTAACAAGCAATTGTCTTTAGGCAGCAGAATACTAGATGGCTGTCATGATAATGTTCTGTATTTTCCAAATGTTTTGCAATTAATCATAACTAATGGCAATTTTAGAGGAAACACATTAAAAATAAGTCTATATAATTTTAGGTAAAAGTGGGCAAAAATTATGTTAAAATTAGGAGCAAAAGCAAGGTATGGAGAAAGCAAAATGAATTTTAGAAATGTTTGCCTCAAAGGAAGCATTAGATTAAGACTAAATTGCACTCATTTTTTTCTAAAGAGAACATTTTGTATTTGCAAACGAGAAAATACAATTTGTTTAAACTTCCTTTAATAAAGATACATAATAAAATGAATGTTTCCTTTAAATATGCCCTCAATGGCACCTTTTTGGGAGCGGGTGTGGGGTGGGGGGGTGGGCAGGGTGTGAACCACAGTATCATTAGGTAAAAGTGAGAACTCCTATTACCTTCCCAGGAAAGGAGAGAGACAGCCTGCTGTGTCATAATAGCTTTAGAAAGCTTTGGTCTCAGGCTTACAAAGTGAAAACTCTTGATTAAGAAAATCAGAGGTCCTGATGACAAGTCTATCAAAGATTGACTTTTGCAATGCAGGGGCTACTATCTGGCTTGGATGGCAGCATACTTGTCATCTTTGTCAGGAAGCACTCTGCCAAACGCAGTTCTTGCGGGCAATGGACTGCAAACTCCAGCAGGATTGGGACTGTGTCCCGGGCACTGTTTTGCTGCTTGCATAACCACAGTTACTGGAACAGGATATGCACTAATTTTATAGTACAAATGATTGTTATGGTGAACTAGATAGTACATGTTTTACAGATAACAGTGAAGTATAGGTTTCTAAGCAAGAAAGACAGAGGTCCTGGGGAAAAGTGGACACCGAGTGATAATTTAAAGGGCATATTCTTAGTGGTCTACCTGAAAAGGAAGCAATAATTAATTAGTTTTTCATTTATCTCACATAATTTGATTTTTAAAAAAATAAGAATTATTCCAAGTTTATCGTGTATTGATATATGAATCATATGTACCTTACCTATTTTAGCCAAGGCTTTGATGCCTGAACTCATACATCCCTGATGAAAATGAAAATTTGAAGACTTTTAGGAAAGTAATTGTCAGTAATAAAAGTCTTTTAAATGTTCATATTTTTTGTAATACCAATTTCTAAGAGTCTTTCCTAAGAAAATTATCTGAAATGTGACTAAAGATTAACAAAATTGTTTATTATAGCATTATTTATAATAATTATGCAGAAAACACTTAATATAGCAAGCTTGAGACTGCTACTCTTAGCAACATCTGCTTGTAAAGTTGACCTTTGGTTGATACCTTAGAACTTAGCAGGTAAACAATTCCTGATATAAAACTTTCCCTAAATGATAAGGGTGTCTCACTATACCCAGACCAATTGTGCAAGCAATATGGTTTTTGCTGAATATCTGCTTTCCTTCCAGAAATCCAGAATGTTGGTACATGCTAGGCAGAGTATGCCTATGTGACTAGGCTCCAATAAGAGATCCTGGGTACTAAGTTTTTAACAAGCATCCCAGGTATACAACACTTTACACATGTTGTCATGACTTGCTGCTGGAGGAATTCAGGGCATCCTTTCTGACTCCACTGGGAGAGAACTATCGGACTCTTGCTCCCGGTTTCCTGTGGATTTCAATCCCTGTACCTCTTCCCTTTGCTGATTTTGCTTTGTAACCTTTCACTGTAATAAACCTTAGCCATGACTACAACCATATGCTAAGTACTGTGAGACCCTCTAATGAATCAGCAAACTTGGGGTGGTCTTTGGGACTCCAACATAAAAATAAAATTGGAAAAAATATAAATGTAAATATAATATAAATGTCCAGAAATGGGAGACTGGGTAAATTTTACTATATCATGCATTGACTTATTCCTCAACAACAAAAGTTATGCTTATGAAGTATTTTACATTATAACTGTATTGTAAGAAAAAAAATCTCATATACCTTGTGCTTTTAATTATGGACCAAAAAAATCCATAAACCAAAAGACTTCACAAAATTGTGCCAAAATGTTAAAAGTAATAGCTTTTGGTTTGATCAATTTTTTTTCTGTATTCTATTCTCTTATTTCTGAATGGGCTGATTGTGGAGTTCATGAAACCTTAAATACCTGACTCACATACTGCCACCTCTTAAGGAATGTTATTCTAATTGTTTTTTTCTCCATATCAATTGCCATTGTACCTAAACCATGGTTTCACTGTGAAACCAGACTGGCCACTGAGCTTTGGAGGACAAGATTAGGAAGCAGTCTGTGAGTCTGAGGCAAATGCATACGAGTTGGATATAAGTGATTAAGCACATTGGACATTTTGGCTCAAACTCTACCCAGTTTGGTTTCTACACCACATAGAAATAATCTGATAAAATCAAATCTTACATGTTAACAGTTTAAAACCTAGGTGAATGAACAGAAGCAGGCCATGTTAGCTGAGAGGTGAACCAACCTCACCAGTTCTCTCTGAAGCTGGTTGATAATCCCAGCATTGGGAAATCTAGAACTGAGAATGACTGGGGTCAGGGGATGACTTTCCATGATATCTTCACATATAAGCTCCATCACTAAAGGAAATTTCTACAGGTTTTGTAAAGAAACAGACCTGAACGTTTGGCTTTCCAGAATTTTTATAATGAAGAGGTATTTGATTGGCAATGTGAAAGAATGATTAAGCTTTAAAAAACAAAAACTACCTACAAAACGTATGGTCATAAATCTTTGGTATTTTATTTCTTCACAGGTTATGTATGAGCTACAATAATTGTGCAAATTCTGAGCAAATTCAATGAGCTAGCCTTTTTAGGAAACAAAAATAAGAATCTAATCCCCTAAAAAAGATTATTAATTTTGTTATTTTCATCTGTTTTTGATGACCAGCTTGTCAGAAGATTGAAGGTCACTAATGTAACATTATCTTTACTGAAAGTTAATGTAATACATTCAAAAGAGGAAAAAAAAAGATCCTGGTGACAAAAACAAAGGGATGATTACAGAACAAAATTTTAGCCCTGCTTATATTTATATATTCATTCCAAATGTGTCACTCTATTCTTTACTACTCTCCTAGTCAGGGCTGGGAGGAAACTAGCTTGTGACCTTACAAGGTATGAACTGTATATGATTGGTGGGAACTTCACTAAATCGTACGCATGTGGAGAATTAAATTAAAAATCTGTGTTAGTACTAAGAGGCTCACGAAGTCCAAGTGATAAAGCTAAAGTAAAAGATAAATATAAAGCAAATATCGGCCGGGCGCGGTGGCTCACGCCTGTAATCCCAGCACTTTGGGAGGCCGAGGCGGGTGGATCATGAGGTCAGGAGATCGAGACCATCCTGGCTAACAAGGTGAAACCCCGTCTCTACTAAAAATACAAAAAATTAGCCGGGCGCGGTGGCGGGCGCCTGTAGTCCCAGCTACTCGGGAGGCTGAGGCAGGAGAATGGCGTGAACCCGGGAAGCGGAGCTTGCAGTGAGCCGAGATTGCGCCACTGCAGTCCGCAGTCCAGCCTGGGCGACAGAGCGAGACTCCGTCTCAAAAAAAAAAAAAAAAAAAAAAAAAGCAAATATCACACATAAATATAAGAAACAAGAACAGTGAAATGAGCTAAGGCGAAGACTTTCTATTATTGTGATCAATGTTTACAATTATTGGATGTACGGATTAGCCAAATTCTACCTATCCTTTTCAGTCCTTTCATCAGAAAGAAAGCAAAATGAAACACAAATCATTATTTCTACTTGTTATCAATATAAGTAAAAGGCTAAGTCTTAAGAGGATGAAGAAAATTCTGAATATTAATGCTTTAGGTGTTATCTATAAAGCTCAGATAGCCACATGGATTCTGTTTCCATTATTACTAATAATTGAAAATTGATGATACTAATAAAATATTCCACAGATGCTCTGTCTTCTCTCTCCTACACACCAACAGATCAAATTCAACATAATGTGGTTCTTTTGAGAAACATAATATGTATTACTTGCATAGAAATTTTAAGAATAATTAAGAACAAAATTAAGTTAATTTTTCAATCTACTTTACTGGTCTTACTAACTACTATGTCCACATATGAACCTTTCCTCCAGTTAAACTACTCTACGACCTTAACCTGAAATAACTTTGAAAACACATCTCCACACAGTTGCCTATGCCACAGTCCCCCAATAACCCATCCTCACTGATCTCCACCTTCCAAAAGTATGGGCAACTTTCAAGGCCAAGCTACACCGTCATTTTTTTTCTTTCCACTCATGATGGTACATTTGAATTCAAAGGAATGTGACTATGTGATAACAAAGATAACCCTGAATCTACTCTAATTATTAAAAGGTTAAATAATTCTCAGCTTTATCTTTTTCTTTTTCTTTTTTTTCTTTTATTATTTATTTATTTGAGACAGACTCTGACTCTGTTGCCCAGACTGGAGTGCAGTAGCATGATCTCGGCTCACTGCAAACTCTGCCTCCCAGGTTCAAGCGATTCTCCTGCCTTAGCCTCCTGAGTAGCTGGAATTATAGGTACACGCCACCACACCTGGCTAATTTTTGTATTTTTAGTAGAGACGGGGTTTCACCATGTTGGCTAGCTGGTCTCAAACTCCCAAACTCAAGTGATCTGCCCACCTCGGCCTCCCAAAGTGAGCTTTTTCTTTTCAGTATTTAGAAAACATACCTTGCAATCACTTCACTGATCCTGATATGCTAACATGAATGACCATGGAGAATGAGAACTGCTAATCTCCACCACTGGAACAGAACACATCCCATTGCCTTGTATTGTAGATTACAAAAGGGATTATGTTTTCTTGTATTCTAACTCAGCCACAAGACTGTAAATTCCTTATAAGGCATGGATGACATCTAAAATTAATTTGTATTCCTATATACATAGCACAGCATTTCGTATGGTCATGTTTCAAAACATGAACAAAAAGTCCTTAGTCAACACTTCTTTGCCTTTAAAACTCAGATGACATTTTCACTTTCATTCTGCAAACTTATAACAAAAGCCTTTAACCTTTTAAAAGATGGAAGCAAAAAAAGATGTAACAAACCCATCTGCCTTTGAATGAAGCCTCTATCAAATATAATGAAACACGGACATTAGAACAATTACTATATATTAGTTCATATTAATAAGTTGTTAATTTTAGGTGATGTATTTTGATTGTGCTTTAAAAAGAGATTCTTCATCTTTTATAATACAAGCTGAAAAATATTTATGAATGGATATCAAAGAATTTGCCTCATCTAATCCAAGCTGAGAAGGGAATTGGATGGGTGCATGGATAAAATAATACTGGCCATGAATTCATAATTGTTGGAACTGGATGATGAATATTTGTGGATTTATTATCCTAGTTTTTTTACTTTTGTATATTTAGATTTTCCATAATAAAATGGTTTTTTACTTTATTCCAAAATGCACAAACTTTTCCAATGCCAAGAAAAGTTTGAATTAAACATCTATTCATGAGGAAAAGAGATCAGACTCACAGCAAAACATGAATAATACTACTTTTCCAACAAAGTGTGACTTTAAAAAAGAAAGAATGGAACTGCATTATAAAGTGCAA
Organism: Homo sapiens; assembly: GCF_000001405.40. Lineage (NCBI taxonomy): Eukaryota > Metazoa > Chordata > Mammalia > Primates > Hominidae > Homo > Homo sapiens. The sequence goes on from NC_000004.12 coordinate 149,635,211, forward strand.
GGAGGCATATCTCAGCAATCTCCCAAGCAACTCTCCAGATCCTCACAGGGTGACTGTTGAAGATACTGTAAATTCCTAGATCAGAACTATTCTCAGTTAGAGCAAAGCATCAGAAATGTGTTTACTTGCTTATTAGCTATCTTCTCAACTAGAATGTAAGTGTCACTAGGTCAACATCTTTACTTTGTTCTCCAGTATCTCTCCAGCAAAAAGCAGTGCATCCAGCCCAGATAGCAGGTACTCAATATATATTTGTCAATTATTTCTATGTATAAAATATGCCCTCTCCTGCCTACTACAAAAAGGTCATAAAGTATTATGAATGTTAAGCTATTAGAATAAAAATTCATTTCAAAGTTTCCAATTTTAATTATGTATATTCCTTTCTGAAAATAGCTTATCATTAACTTATCTATTTTGCATATTAAAAATTTACAAATAACACCTGCATGCCTCTTCTCATCTTAGCCTTATGTCCACTGAGAGGTAGATAAAAACGAGAATTACCTCTCCAGTCCCAGAAAAGCAAAAAACTGAAACTCAGAATATATTGATAATCTGATGAGATTCTAACTCTGTTTTTTGACTCATAGTTCATTATTCTATAAATTATAGAAATACCTGTATATTTCTTTAAATTGGGGCTCATCAATTAATCAAGCATTTCCAGTATCATTATTTCTAGTAATAGAGGAAATAGATGTGAGAGATTGAACTCAGCCTCACAGAATAAGAGATTTTAAAAATCAAATGCATTACACCAACTTTTAGGTATAATATTAAGAAATATCATTTAAAAATCTTAAAACACGTAGAGTTCTATGTTTACTTTAGACATAGAATGTCATAAAAAAAGATCTTTCCCACTATAACAATGAGAACGAACCAGACAGTCTACAAAATAATGATTTCGTTTTTCAGCTAGAGTGCTATGGTCACAAGGCAGTCTGATGATCTGCAATGCAAAGTTGACAAACTCCTCCACAGAGATGGAACACAATACTATAATACCTTGGGCAGACCAAAGAGGAAGAGATGGCCACCACAGAAGCAGGCAAGAAGAAAACAGATAAAATTTTAATTAATCTTTAAAGGCCAATTGTGACCCAATTTGAGAGTACAGAATCCTCAGAAGCCCTGGACAAAAGGGGTGTCTGCACTGACTCTCCTACTCTTACGTAGGGCTTCCACTGACTGGCAACAAGAAAGACTGGTGGCAGGAGAGGAGACCTAAGAGAGACCTCCTCCATGATAGACGTGTGTGGATCCTCTTTTGATTTGGAAGTGGAGCAGAAGAACCCAGAGAAGTCTATCTCCAATCCAAACACTGCATAAATGCTGCTGAGAAGGACCAGAAAAGCCACACATGCCCCACCTCTACACTGATAGCAGGCAATTATTTTTTTAAATATTTTTTATTTTTAAATCTTGCCTAAGATTTAAAAATAAGGCAGGAGGTCTATAATCACTGCTTCTATTCAGCATTGTGCTAGAGTTTCTAGTCGGTTAAATAAAATAAGAAAATGATAAGTAGACACAAAATTGGGGAGCAGGGAGTAAAGCTGTTTTTATTAACAGATGATATGACCAAGTATGTAGAAATCCTGATAAATCCGAAAGAAAACTAGCAGAACTAGAAAGTGAATTTAGCGGCCGGGCGCGGTGGCTCACGCCTGTAATCCCAGCACTTTGGGAGGCCGAGGCGGGTGGATCATGAGGTCAGGAGATCGAGACCATCCTGGCTAACAAGGTGAAACCCCGCCTCTACTAAAAATACAAAAAATTAGCCGGGCGCGGTGGCAGGCGCCTGTAGTCCCAGCTACTCGGGAGGCTGAGGCAGGAGAATGGCGTGAACCCGGGAAGCGGAGCTTGCAGTGAGCCGAGATTGCGCCACTGCAGTCCGCAGTCCGGCCTGGGCGACAGAGCGAGACTCCGTCTCAAAAAAAAAAAAGAAAAAAAAAAAAAAAAGAAAGTGAATTTAGCAATGTTACAGTATACAAAGTAAATTAAAAATTAATTGTAATCTACATAGTAACTGAAACAATTAGAAAAATGTAAAATCAACATTAATTATAATAGTTTCAAGACTTTGAGTATTAAGGGTAAATTTAATAAATAGCATGTAAGAACTGTACACTCAAACTATAGAACATTGCTGAGAGATTAAAGAAGGCCTAAATTAATAAAGAGATACACTATGCTCATGGATTGAAGACTTAATTTTAAGATTGTTATTCCATGTCCCTTCAATTCATATATAGATTCAAAGTAATCCCTATTAAAATCACAGCAGGATTTTTCTGAAAATTGACAAGATAATTTAAAATTTTACCTGGACAGGCAAAAGAAACAAGAATAGCTAAAACAATCTTAAAAAGAAACAAAACTGGAAGGCATACATGACATGACTTCAAGACTTAATATAAAGCTACAGTATTAAGATAATACGGTATTAGCAAGAGGATATACAAACAGACCAATGGAACAGAACAGAGAGTACCTAAATCGACCTGCATATATAATATCAAAGACAAAGGTACCAAAGCAATTCAATGGAGAAGGAAAACTCTCCTCAACAAATGGTACTATCTTAAACCACACACACAAATCAGTTTGAGGTGGCTCATAGGTCAAAATATGTAAGCTAAAACAACAAAGCTACCGAAGAATAACTATAGAAAATATTCACAACCCTGGAACAGACAAAACAAAATCACACTATTTTAAAAATGGAAAAATTGGACTTAATCAAAAATAAAAACTGCTCATAAGAAAAGGCAAGAAAAAAGTAGGCAAGCTACAGACTGTGAGTAAATATTCACAACACATGACAAAGGACTTAAATTCAGAATATATACAGAGTTCTGCAATTCAATAATAAAAAGACAACTCGATTTTTAAAATGGGCAAAGGACACAGATTATTCACAATAGAAAATAGACAAATAAAAAATATGCATGTGAGAAAGTGCCTAGCATCATTAGTCATCAGGCAAGGATGTGTAAAATAAAACCCCAATGGGTAAACCCACTAACATGATTAAAATGAGATTGACAACATAAAATGTAGAAGAGGATGTGGAGCAACTGAAACACTCATAGATGGCTGATGAGAGTGTAAAATGGTATGTGGGAAAACTCTTTTGTTTCTTAAGTAAACATACATCTATGCTATGATCCAGCAATTGCACAGCCAGGTATTAAAAAAATGAATACATATGCCCACACAAATATGAGTAAACAAATGCTGGTAGAAGCTTTATACTAGATAAAACCTGGAAATAAGATAGATGTTCAACAATATAATGAATTGATACACTGTGGTATAGTCAAACAATGGACTACTACTCGTTAATAAAAAGAATGAATTACTGATATATGCAAAAACATGGATAAATCTAAAAATATTATGCTAATTAAAAGCAGCAAGGCAAGAAAATATACGTACTGTAGGATTTCATATATCAGCTATTGACTAATTCCAATCAGTGAATTAGCTTAGCCTAGGTAGATCCAATTAGCCAGTTATCTAAATAGCAACTGCTGATTCATCAAGGCTGTTCCAAAATAGTGGATGTGAGCAGCACATGCATACACCAAGAAGGAGAGCAGGGCCCTGAAATACTAACCTGGACAGAAAGCATCACGTGGCTTTACCATCAGCTTAAACTCTCCACTATCAGGGTTTAGTTTTGCCTGCTTCTAAGTCCTAAACTGGCAAAAAGTTTTGCCTGCTTCTAAGTCCTAAACTGGCAAAACTAAACTCAGATCAGCATTTACTTCTAGAGGTAGAGAGTGGAGCAAGGGTAAATTGAGAAGGAGCCAAAGGGAACTTTCTAACGTGACGTCTACTTGCCAAAACTGACTGAAAGGCACGTTTGAGATCTGGTCATTCACTGAATATAAATTATATTTCAATCAAAAAATGAAGACAGGGATTGGGGCAGGGGCTCACGCCTATAATACCAGCACTTTGGGAGGCCAAGACAGGAGGATCGCTTGAGCCCACTGGTTTGTGACCAGCCTGGGCAACACAGGGAGACCTGTCTCTACAAAAAATTTAAAAATTAGCTGCACATGGTGGCACGCAGCTGTGGTCCCATCTACTCAGGAGGCTGAGGTGGGAGGATTACTTGAGCCCGGGAGATCGAGGCTGCAGTGAGCTATGATCGTGCCGCTGCACTCCAGCCTGGAAAACAGAGTGAGATCCTGTCTTAAAAAAAAAAAAAAAAGAAGAAGAAGAAGAAGGAGAAGGAGAAGAAGAAGACAAGTTAAATATTCTTATCTTATCTTCTATTAGTACCTCCACATAAGCAATTTATATTATTCATGTTATGGTGCCAAATCAAATTTGAGTCATATTCCTGAAAGGTTAAAAGCTCCTACCAAGTATTTTAAAGATACTTTCTTAATTTAAAGTTCATCTTTAGGCCAGGTGCAGTGGCTCATGCCTATAATCCCAGCACTTTGGGAGGCTGAGGTGGGTAGAACACTTGATCCCAGGAGTTTGAGACCAGCCTGGGAAATATGGCAAAACTCTAGCTCTACAAAAAAATTAAAAATAAAAAAATTAGCCAGGCATAGTGGCATGCATCTGTAGTCCCAGCTACTTGGAAGGCTGAAGTGGGAGGATCCCTCGAGACAGCGAGGTGGAGGTTGCATTGAGCCAGACCACACCACTGCACTCCAGCCTAGGTGACAGAATGAGACAACTACATCTTTAAAATAAAATATTTGCAAAATAAATGAGAGCATTTCAAAATCTAAAGTAGCCAACTCAATTTTCTGAAATTAAGCTCTTTTTCTTTCACTAGCACATGCAATAAGTTTAAAAATTATTTCTTGAATGTTGCCTTCAGGTGGATTTCAAAGTATACTGAGAATCAAAATTCTTGTGGTTATTTTAAATTGGCTTTAGAATTTTAGAAAATTGTTTTAATTTAAAAAATGTGTGGGTACATAGTAGGCATATATATTTATGGAGTGCTTGAGATATTTTGGTATAGGCATGTAACACATAATAATCACATCATGGAAAATTGGATATTAATCCCCTCAAGCATGTATCCTTTGTGTTACAAACAATCCAGTTATACTCTATTAGTTACTTTAAAATGCAGAACAATATTGTATTAAATTATTCAAAAATTCAAGTATTAACACTTTATTCTAAACACAGTAATCAATAAAGTTTAATGCTTCACAATTTATAAATTAACCTCTACATATACAATCTCACCTGGTCCTCATATTCACCATGAGAAGTAGATGAAAGTGGTTTCCTCTACCATTTTAGAAAAAGGCAAAGCTATCATCTTCTCTTCTCTTAATATTCTTCCTTATCTTGCTTGAAAATTATCTTTTCTTTAAAACTGTCTTCCTTCTGGACTGCTTAAATTCTAACCACATTTTGCATTTCTATATCATCTTTAAGGCTTTTCCCATAGTTAACATCTTCAGTTTTTCTAAAGAAGTTATCCTTTTTATCCAACGTTGTGTTTGTGTGATTTTTTTTCTCTTATTTTGAGGCCAATCTTTTGATACAAAGACAATTTAATGGAGTCGAGAATATATTAAAAGTTTTTTAACAACCGGATAACATCCCTGATCCACCTTTCAGAAAATGTCCACCTTTCAGCCAGGCGCAGTGGCTCACATCTATATAATCCCAGCACTTTAGGGGGCCGAGGCCAGTGGATCATCTAAGGTCAGGAGTTCAAGACCAGTCTGGTCAACATGGTAAAACCCTGTCCACACCAAAAATACAAAAATTAGCCGAGCGTGGTGTTGCACACCTGTAGTCCCAGATACTCAGGAGGCTGAGGCAGGAGAATCACTTGAACCAAGGAGGAAGAGGTTGCAGTGAGCTATCATGCCACTGCACTCCAGCCTGGGTGACAGAGTGAGACTCTTGTTTCAAAAAAAAGTGTTCTCATTTTAATTGATGCTCAAATATTAAACTAACTATGAGAAAACAAAACAACAGAAAAATAGAAAAGAATTATAACAAAAAGGTAAAACAATTATGTTATTTAGCCAGTTTATTTAATGTTTTTCTCTACATCTATTTATTAATTCTGATTGAAATTACTTTTAAAAGACCCAGGATATTACAATCACCCACAAAATCCTTCCCTATATTTAATTATGTACTTTCAGAAACACTGAAAATGAAGAAAAATTATAAATACCATTTTAAAAATTAATGTCCTACAAATTAATTGAAGAAAAACACTTTCATTCATATACAATTAGATGAAAATGATTTGGGGCAATTAAAGATCATGAAAAACATAAGCAAAAATATTTTTTAAAGTTTGTGTGTTTTCTCTTTTTGTAAATGGGATGTAAATGTTCTCATTTTTTAAACACAATAAAAGAAAAATGCATCAGTCACTTAAATGTTTTTTCAATATATTTCCCAACCATATTTTCCTCTACAGAGGATTTCAACAAAATATTATTATATCAGAAAATGAAAAATTTAGAACATTAAAATTATCCTTATTTCCATGGTTTGGTTTCTTTCCTATTCCTTAAGTCAGATAAAGCTTACAACGTGTTATATAGCATGACTGTAATTTACTAGGGTCATCAATTATTAACTCCAATTTTTAAAACATATGCCAGAGAAACTACCTTGGGGATAAAAAAAGATCATTAATCTGTTTGGGAAATTGCCTTTTTAAAAAGGCAAATTAAGGGGTAAGATCTTGATTTTGTATTCTAAAAATTAGTTCAACAATTTCACTGTAGATAAATTAACCAACATTAATACCTTGTCTATCTGTGGACAAAGTTAAATCCTCAGTGTGTATACTCAAGAAGAAATAGTCCAGACAGTGAACGAGGGGGAAAAGAATCAGAAAATGCTTGCACGGAGAGTTGCTTTATAGGGCTGATAGTTTAACTAATTAATATGACATTTAATAAATGGCACTTTGAAGAACTGCTAAGCTTCAGTAAACTTTCAAGCCAAACCAACTTTGCTTATTATTTTAAAACAATAGAATTATAGTATATTTTGCCAGCATAATTTTACTACCTCATGTTTAAAAGATTCATATATATGAAATGCTTGAAAGAAACATTGCATATATATAGCCACTGTATTTCCCAGTGGACACAGCTTAGCACAAACTGATAAAAATGAGAGGTCGTAAAATAAATCTATTTTCATACCCATTGGTGTGTAATTGAATAGATTCTTCGAATAGTTGCTATAAATTAATTCCAACTTTAAGGCAATGAAATATTTTACCTCTTGCAAAGTAACCAGGAATGACAAAAAGTATTTTCCTCCTTCAGCAAATAAGAGATATTCTGTGATCCCAACTGTTATTGCCTTCATATATCTAAACTATAAACTCATCTATGGACTACACAGGAAAATTTGGAGCTCCTTCAAAGCTCAGCCATCCAAAGACAACAGAGATCCTCATTGGTTTAAAGTACGTTTTAGAACACTAGAATACTGTTCCAGTACATTAAATTTGAGAATGACTTTCGTTTCGCTATGAGTTAGAACATAATAATGAATAATTCTCCTTAGATTTGGGATAGATTCAAAATTATATTTAGGGACACAAACAAGTCTACTGGTTCATAAAATTTGTATCACTCTTTGCCATATGTATTCTAGAGAGAAAACGTACATTACTTTTTTTAAAAAAATTGTAATAACTGGTGGTTACTTAGCAGAACTCATACACAATATAGTACCTGCCCTAGAGTGGTTTACATTCTAAGACATTTATATTCAATAAGAATCAGTAGCCTACAGATCAGTACTGACCTTTTTTAAATTTTTTAAATTTTTTCCTTTTTTTAACTTAAAAAAAAATCAAAACATTATTTACCGCAGTTACATTCAACCAAACAAGCAATACTTAACCAGACATAGGAACAACAACATAGCATGGTTTTCTTTGGGCCAAACTAATTGTAACGCCTAGTATTTCAGTTTAACACATGGAGTTATTGTCTACAACCTCAGCAGGTATTTATTTCATATTTATTAGATGCAGATAAACACTGAATACCTACTTTGTGTCAGGCATGTACCAAGTGTTGACAATGCAAGATGAACAAGAAGAAGCCCCAGGCTTTAAAAAGTATACCATCTAATGGGGAAAAGTAAATTTTAAAAATTCACTATCACTTTGTGCTAAGTGTTATCATAGATGTATGTTATGGAGGCTTGCTCAAAGACAAAGCAACTCTACCAGAGGAAGTCTAGGGATAGCTCCACAGGTGATAAGACATTTAAGCTGGACATTAAAGGTTGGTGAGTAGGTCCACCAGGGAGTGAAAGAGATTCTGTTTCTCAGAATACAGCAACAATAAAAATGAGATCAGGCTCTGAGACTTATGTTATCAGGGTACTCAAATCCTTTTTAGAGATCTCTATGGCTTAAGTACCGAGCACTGTTTATCCAAACAGGAGGGTGTAAGTGAGAAAACCCAGTCAAAACCCAGAAGTTGCCAATGGTATCCAGAGAGGCTTGTCAGTCAGGACAAGCCTTGGCAGTTAGGAGCTTGTAAAAAACAAGTAATTGTTTAATACTGTGGCCTTTTCCTAGATGCTATAACTAGAAACTTCAAATAAATCTCTCCAGTGGGTTACACTTTAGATTCTTGCTTTAATTCCTGGGTTTACAGACTCCGCCTTCTTACTCTTAATGTATTTCTGATCATAATTTTATATTAACTGATGAAATATCAAGGCCTTACTCTTCACATTTAATGGACTTTTTAGTGATAAAGTGGTCTAAATGGATACATGGTGACCAAACATCCAGTTTGCCCAAGACTGCCTTGGTATTAGCATTGAAAATCATGCTCCAAGAAACAGCTCGGTTTAAGGCAAACTGGGCCAGTTGGTCACCCTAAAATTTCCTATTCCCAAAGCGTCTAGCAAAATAGATGCTCAGCATCTCCTTTTCTAGTAAATTAGGTTTTTTTAAAATCTACTATTGTAAAATATAACACAGAGAAAAGCATTTAAATATATACCTACAGCTTTTGATAGTGGGCCACTTAGCAGAAACAATATAGATGCTACCACCCTAGAATCCTTCCTTCCCAAAGTACTTTTCCTCCCCCAAGAGCTAACGACTTTCCTAACTTTTCTTGTAAATATTTGCCTTCTTAAAAGAAATAAACTTGCCAATGGTGTTAAACTATAAATCTTAGCTTTAACTTTTTATTTGAATTTGATCTACCAAAATACTTTTATGTTTTGCTTTTATTGATAAACATTGTTTATAAAACTGATTCCTGTTGTTGCATGCAAATGTAGATTGTCTACTTTCTTGTTATATACTCTTATCTTGAATGCATTTTCCGCAATTTATATATCTATTGAACTGTTGGTGACATTTGAATTGTTACCAGTTTGAGGTTATTACAGAGTATGCTGCTGTGAACATTCCTGTATGTTCATCCTGGGGTACAAATGCAAGAGGTTCTCTAGGGCTGTGTTAGTGTGGTCCACGGATTAGCAGAACCTTCAACATGTGGGAGCTTGATAGAAATGCAGATGCTCAGGCCTCATTCCAGACCTACTGAATAAGAATTTCCATTTTAACAACACTCATTTGCATGTTAAAGTCTGTGTGAATAGTACGCAGAGAGAAATAAGAGAAGCACTTCTCCAGAATATAACCTAAAGAGTGCAATCACTGGAATTAAATTTTACTTGGCACCAGAAGTATACCAGCCTTCTGTATCCTCACCTACACTTTGCACTGCCAGTCTTTTAGATCTATAACTATCTGGTGGTTATAGACTGGACTCTCCTAGATTTGCTTTGCATATTCTTAATCACTGATGAGTTCGAGCATCTTTCTATAAGTTTATAAAGGATTTGGATTTCTTCATTTTAAAACTCCTTTTCTAGTCCTCAGTCCAGTTTTCTGTTGGGTTCCTCCTCATTTACTCTTTAGTTTCCAGAAATGTCTTATACATGTAGGTTTTTAAAAATTGTTGGTTATATGTATTACAATTTTTTGCAAGCCAGAGTAGCTATGATTTCACTCCTTTATTTGATGAACAGAAGTTCTTAATTTTAATGTAACTTAATCAGTTTTTTAATTGATGTTGTGATTATGCATCTTCTTTAAGAAATCCTGTCCTACTGCAAAATCAGTGTATTTTCCTATATTGTCTGCAGAAGTTAAAAGATTCACATTTTTAACTTTTTAATTGAAATTTCATGCAGAAAATTGAACATAAGAATTCAACTTAATGAATTTTCACAATGTCTTGGTTAATAGTGCTTAGATTAAGAACCAGAACATTTCAAGCAATCCAGGAGCCCCTCTGATGCTCCCCTTAAATCAGTACTACCCAAGAGTAAGGTGATGTGAGACAGCTGTCCAATTTCACCTTTTTCTATGATGATAATTTCTCTATCGTGTATTGAAAAATCCCTTCTTTTTCCATTCATATGTAGCACTGCCTTTTTAGTATATCAAATGTGCATATGGGGTGTAGATCCCTTGGCAAACTCATAGCCCCAGACTGACCTGGAGATTACTTTCCCAAGGCCCTTGCAGTAAAGACATCACACTCCAGACCTCCTGCCAACAGTGGCACCCAACTCCCTCTCCTCACCTATCCCCTCCCAGAGGTTTGTCTTCCATTACCCTCCTGATGTGGACACCAGGCATTCCAGGCCTCCCACCCACAGTAGCATCCCTACTTCCTCTGCACACCTGCATGCCTGTGTACCTGCCCCTGGCTGAGACCTGCTTGCAACCCAGAGGAATACTTCCTGCTTATACAGTGCCTGTGGATTGGCTCAGGCACACAGTGAACTTTTCTGCCATCCAGTGGTCTGCAACTATACCTTCTCTAATGAAGTCTGAATCCCAGCCTTGGGGGAGAAGGGGTCTAAGTTTTCCCATCCCTAGGTACTCTCTGTCAGCCTTAGGGAACCCTGTAGAGTTCTCTTAAATCTAATAGTTATTCTTTTATCGAGGCTTAATAATTCTTTATATTATACTTCCCCTTAATTAAATCACTCTATTGTTTATGTCTCTTGATTAGACCTAGATTAATATGAATCTTTTCTATTTCTGAAATATAAACTTTTAATATCCTCTGAAATATGAGATTAGAGTTATTTATTCTTTGAATGCATCATGGATTCTTGAGGTTTTTTTTTAAGTCAGTTGGGTACAGCATATTTTTCCAGAATATTTTTATTATGTCTAAATTTTCAAAAGTATTGGTATAACATCTCTCTCTTTTCTGTTAGTCTATTATATCTATAATATCACCTTTTACATTCTTAATATTGATAAAAGGACAAAAAAGATATGTAAGCAGTAATCAAAAGAAAGTTGACAAACTTTTTACTTCAACTTTTCTATATCCTATGTTTTAAACATGTCTTTTATATTTGATCATTGATTTCCATACGCTGAAGTTCTTTGACTTTCAACTGGTATATTTCGTTCATTTATGTTCAATTAATAACTTTTTTAGGCCAGGTGCAGTGGCTCACGCCTGTAATCCCAGCGCTTTGGGAGGCTGAGGCAGGCAGATCACCTGAGGTCAGCAGTTCAAGACCAGTTTGGCCAACATGGTGAAACCCCATCTCTACCAAAAATACAAAAATTAGCTGGGTGTGGTGGCAGGCGCCTGTAATCTCAGCTACTCAGGAGGCTGAGGCAGGAGAATCTGTTGAACCTAGGGGGTAGAGGTTGCAGTGAGCTGGGATAGCACAACTGCACTCCAACCTGGGTGACAAGAGTGAAACTCCATCTCCAAAAATAATAATAATAATTTTTTGTGTGTGTTCACCTTCTAATTTGTCTTTTCTCTTTTGCCACTTGTTCCTTTTCTCCCCCTTCTTGTCCCTATTTGCATTACTTTTTATTATGTTGTTTGAAACCCGCTGCTAGTCTGAAAGTTGTACAGTTTTAAAAGTGATATTGTAGATACTAAAAAATGCATACATAAAAATTTTACCCACTTTTTGGATAAACAACTCAACTGCTCTTTAATACCTTAACTTATATGTTAATGCATAGATAATTGATTATATTTACTATTTTTGGCTTTTTAAATCTTTAAAGGAAAATTTTATTTTCCCTTATATTTCAGGTCTCCCTTCTAAGAACATTTTTTTTTTATTCTAAAGTACAGTTTTACTATTTCCTTCATGAAAGTTTGTTGGTCATAAACACATTGTTTTTATTTATCTACTTTGTCTTTATTTATCAAGCATCCTGAAAGATGCTTGCGGAATTTTAGATTGGAAGTTGTGTTTCTTAAACATAGTAAGGTTATTATTCCACTATCTTCAGGCTTTCATTATCACTGTTGAGAAATCAGTTATTTTACTGTTCTTCCTTTGGAAATAATTTTTCTCTATTTTTCTTATCCTTTTTCTTTTACTTCTTTTGCTTTTCTTTTTTTCTTCTCTTTTTGCTGGCTTTTAAAAATTGTTTCTCTTTTTATTTGGTTTTCTTCATCTTCACTATGATTTCAAAGTGTATATTTCTTTGTATTAATCAAATTTAGGATTAATTGGGTCTCTTGAACCTAAGAATTAATGTCTCTCATCATTTCTGAAACATTCTGAGCCATTGTCCCTACAGATGTGGCCTTTGCCATATCCACAAGAGAAAATATTCTCTTCTTTTTGGACTCTGATTATAGGAATGTAAGATCTTGGCAGTTTTTTATAGTGTCATTCTTACCTACTCTTTTGTATTTCTTTCTCATTGCTCTGTGTTGCATTCTGGATAATTCATTCCACTAGTTACCTCTTCTCTACTGCATCCAATATGCTAACAAATATGTTCATTGACAATATATTTTTTCTAGAATTTCTGCTGTTCTATTTCAAATTTATGTTCCTTTTTATAATTTCCTATTTTCTGCAGATATTTTCATCTTCTCATTTATTTATTTAAACACATGGAATATAATTGCTTTAGTATCTAATCTTATCATTCCAATATCTGAATCTGATTGAAGCTGTTATAATTGTCTATTTTTTCCATTGGTTTTTGTACCTTTTGCATTGTTTCCTTATGTACTTAGCTATTATTGACTCCTTATTTGTCATTGTCTTTAAAAAACAATTTGTGGTAGTTTGCTGAGAATGATGGTTTCCAGCTTCATCCATGTCCCTACAAAGGACATGAACTCATCATTTTTTATGGCTGCATAGTATTCCATGGTGTATATGTGCCACATTTTCTTAATCCAGTCTATCGTTGGACATTTGGGTTGGTTCCAAGTCTTTGTTATTGTGAAAAGTGCCGTAATAAACATATATGTGCATGTGTCTTTATAGCAGCATGATTTATAATCCTTTGGGTGTATACCCAGTAATGGGATGGCTGGGTCAAATGGTATTTCTAGTTCTAGATCCCTGAGGAATCGCCACACTGACTTCCACAATGGTTGAACTGCAAGGACAAAAAACCAAACACCGCATGTTCTCACTCATAGGTGGGAATTGAACAATGAGAACACATGGACACAGGAAGAGGAACATCACACACTGGGGCCTGTTGTGGGGTGGGGGGAGAAGGGAGGGATAGCATTAGCAGATATACCTAATGTAAATGACGAGTTAATGGATGCAGCACACCAACATGGCACACATATACATATGTAACAAACCTGCACGTTGTGCACATGTACCCTAAAACTTAAAGTATAATAAAAAAAAGAAAAAAAAGAATACAAAAATTAAAAAAAGAAAAAATAATTTGCGTAAATTACCTTTATTCAATATGGTTCACATTTCCTTATGCCAGCATCTCGGGCATTGCCAGTTGGAAATCATCTTAAACTACATTATAACTTGAGATCACCTGACCAAGCTAGGCTATGCATACACAAGGTGTAAATTCATGCAAGATTGTATGTGGCCACAACTTCTAAAGGATTTTTGTCATTGTTCTCTTTTTTTCCTCAGCAACAAAGAATCCTCCCACCCCACCTGTTCAGAAAAGGACCCCTCCTTTTCTTAAGGAGGGGTCCTTTCCTTAACAGTTCCCATCATCTGCTGGGTGATGGAATGGGTTCCATTCTAGTTTGCTCTCACCCTGGCTTAATGCAGCGAGGGTCTTTTATGAAGATCTCCAACATGGATAGACCCTAGGCCCTGACTGTTTCCCTTACCTGCATGCTTGATTTTCCTAAGTGTGCAGTGTCAACAATGCCTTCATGGCATAAACAGGTGTGGCACTCCAATATTTCACTTCCTATTCTGGATATAGTTGGTCAAACAAAAATTGATCTGTGGGGTTCCCCTACTATTTTTTAAGTTCTATGGTGACTTTTTAAAGATAATTTTAAAAAATAGTTTATTTTTTATTATTTCAAAAAGGATGATTTATTCAAATAATATTACCACCTACCCATTAACTGAAATAATTACCTCATTCAAATTGTCAAATTACAAAAGCCAGAGCTTAATAGGTTTCATTTACCCACAAACTAAAACAAAGCACTATTCCAAGGCCTCCATTTCTTTGACTGCATGGTAACAACTTTTAAAGACTTACTAAGTATTCATCTGTCCATAAAATAGATAGCTAGGAAATGCTGGATTGTATTTAAATCTCTTGATATAATAATCACTGTCAGGTCTCCAAACATCTTTTACCCAACTTTAAAAATATACAAATATAGACACAGTATTAAAACAAGGAAATCCACGTCTCAATGGTTTGATATAGTTATCATAAAGAGAACAATGTTTGTGTTTTTTAAAGATCGTTTCACAAGCCTTGCTTATCTATTAAAAAATAAACTATGAATGAGTTAAAACAATCAGCTAATCCAGTATCTACCAAAAGATAGTAGGCCCCATGTTATGGGGCCAAAATTATGTTGCCCAAAAAGATATGTTGACGTTCTAACTTTGATACCTCAGGATTTGACCTCATTTCAAATAGGGTCATTGCAGATGTAATTAGTTAAATTAAGATGAGGTCATATTGGTGCCAATACGTTTTATGTCCTTATAACAAGAGGAGAGACACAAAGACACACAGGAAGACAGTTTTGTGAAAGCCAGAGGCACAGATTAGAAATATGCTTCTATGAGCCAAGTAACATCACGGGCTACCAGAAGCTAAAAAACACAAGGAAGATTGCTTCCCTAGAAGCTTTGGAGGCAACATGGCCCTTCCAACACCTTTGTTTCAATTAATTTCTGGGTTTTTTTTTTTTTTTTTTGACTCTGTCACCCAGGCTGGAGTGCAGTGGCGTGATCTTGGTTCACTGCAATCTCCACCTCCCGGAATCAAGCGATTCTCCTGCCTCAGCCTCCCAAGTAGCTGGGATTACAAGTACCTGCCATGCCTGGCTAATTTTTGTATTTTTAGGAGAGACAGGGTTTCACCATGTTTGCCAGGCTGGTCTCGAACTCCTGACCTCGGATGATACACCCACCTCGACCTCCCAAAGTGCTGACATTACAGGCATGAACAACCGCTTCCAGCCTAAATTTCTGTCATTTTTAAGCCCTTCAGTTTGTGGTAATTTGTTACCACACAGCTAAGAAACTAACGCACCCTAGTTTTACATCTTTTGCGGAAGTTTTAATACTACCATTTAACATAAAAGTACAGATTGGCAATAAGTTTTGTGTTAAATATTTGTGTATGAACTGTAATTGTTTCAAGGAAGCTTGCTTCTTGGCATTTGCTTTAGTTCCTCAAAAGGTTGTTACACACCTTCTTATTTGTAAATTGCGGAGGAAAAATACAGTCTTTGCCCCTTTTTTCTTCTTGGAAATAATCCAAAACCATTAATAAAAGTGAAAAATCAGGAATTCACATTCCTTACATTAAATCAGAAGACATCCATAACCCTAAAGCATATTGCATGAGAACAAACTTCCTAATATAAATGAAAGTTAAATTGGAAGTGAAAGAAGAGGAAGTTAAAGACACCCACAGTTGCAGATCTGAGACAACAGAAAATTGCTCTCTAAAATAAGTGGTCACATCCTGAGGAGCAAATCCATTTGAGAAAAAGGGAGATAAAGTGCTTATTCTGACAGCAGAAGCACCCTGGACCACATTTTCCCAAGGTCTCAAGAAACTGGAAGGTGGAAATAGATGAGGAATCTCACAGATAATTCATATTTTTAGGACTCGACCTCCAGTTGAAGCAGGGGTAAGAAGAGCTACTCAACAAAGTGAGTTGCCCTTCAGTGTGGAAATAACCTGGCTAGGAGAAATAAAGGCTAAAAGAATTCATGCACATACACAAATTTGTGTCATTACAAGTGTTTCCCATTCACCTGGAACACTGCTCTGGCTACTGTCACACACAAACTTCCTTACAAATGGCTGGTCTGGGAAGAATTCACCACATTAAAAGTGAAAAAAAAATTTTAAATGAACTAACATACAAGGTGTACAAAACTACTGCAGTAACAAAATGGAAAAGGTATAAAAAGATATGACTGATGAATGACAAAAGAAAAATGTTGCTGAGGAAAAAAAATGTTGACACTAACACTATTAATATTTTGACTAAACATATGGCCTAAGAAGATTTTGGGGTCAATCACTTAGAATGGCTGTCCTTAAAAAGTCAGGAAACAACAGATGCTGGTGAGGATGTGAAGAAATAGAAATGCTTTTACACTGTTGGTGGGAGTGTAAATTAGTTCAACCATTATGGAAGACAGTGTGGCGATTTCTCGAGGATTTAGAAAAAGAAATACCATTTGACCCAGCAATCCCATTATTGGGTATATACCCAAAGGATGATAAATCATTCTACTGTAAAGACACATGCACACATATGTTTATTGCAGCACTATTCACAATAGCAAAGACTTGGAACCAACCCAAATGTCCATCAATAATAGACTGGATAAAGAAAATGTGGTACATATACACCATGGAATACTACACAGCCAGGAAAAAGAATGAGTTCATGTCCTCTGTAGGGACATGGATGAAGCTCAAAACCATCAACTGCAGCAAATTAACACAGGAACAGCAAACACTTCATGTTCTCACTCATAAGTAGGAGCTGAACAATGAGAACACATGGACACACGGAGGGAAACTTCACATGCCAGGGCCTGTTGAGGGGTGGAGGGAAGGGGAGGGAGAGCATTAGGACAAATACCTAATGCATGCGGGGCTTAAAACCCAGATGACGGGATGATAGGTGCAGCAAACCACCATAGCACATGTATACCTATGTAACAAACCTGCACATTCAGCACATGTATCCCAGAACTTAAAGTAAAATTAAAAGAAAAAAAACAAACCATAGCATAAAAACCAAAAAGATTTTGGGGGCAAAAAGGTATCTCCTCTATTAAAAGAACAAACCAACAAAAAGGATATAAAAGCTGAGGAGAGATAATGGTGAGACAATAGAAAGTACGACTTGAGCCAACAGTTCAATAAAGTAGCAAAGAAAAAAAAACATCATTTCCAGAAATGAAGAGAGAAGATGGAACATTGAAAATAGGATTGATAGATGTGAACAACATGAAACAAAATAAAGGAAGAGCTTAAAAGGAGTAAAAGAAAAATGATAGACATGGTAAACAGAAAAAGAAGAAAGGAAACAAAATAATAGAAAACATGTTAAAGACATAGTTTAATAAAAAGTTACTGAAGTTAAATGAGATTAAAATCTTGAAACTGAAGGACATATCTTATCTCAGAGGAAAAGAATTGCCACAGTAGGATGCTCACCAAAACACACCTCATAAATTTTACTAGAATACAGAAATAATCTTTTGAATAGCTAGGCAAAAAGAACAATCTGCCTATAAAAAGCAAAGCTGCAGACTAGAAGGCAGTGAAAAATGTTGACAAAATATTCAAGGAAAATAAGTGTAACATGAGATTTTTTTTATCCTAGCCTAAGTTATAAAATCAATAAAGATCTTAACTAACCAAAATTTTGAGAGGGAAAAGAAGTTGGTAAATGGTGTATCATTTAAAATTAATAACATGAACCAGGGAGCAGGTGGTCAAGAGTCTTCCCTGGGAGATGGAGAAGATGGCAGCAGGTGTGGCCAATTGAAAGCCAAGGCTCCAAACCTCCATTGCACGTTTCCTTATCCCATCAGACTCTCTTACCAAACACAGATTTAAAGACAAAGCCACTAAGAATTTCAAGACAGCAGCTACACAGCATTAAACTCTTCTAAAGGCAAGGTCCTGTGTGATTGCAGGGTCTCATGCCTATGAAGCCAACCTCTCTTTCTTTCTATGTATATATCTATATAACATATATGTGTGTGTGTGCACATTTTATATATATATATATATCCTGCACACTTCTTCAGGCTTTTTATATTGTATGTGTGTATGTATGAGCATGAGTGTAGAAAAGAACAGATCATGCCCCTATTTTCTTCTGCAATTCCCTGAGCCATGGATCAGGTGAGAGCAGAAGGAAATTGAAAAGATTTGAGGTGACTGTGACATTAAATTTTTAAATCGGATATCAAGCTGACACATTTACCAAAATGGTCATACATCGAAATGTGGACCTGTACATTTAGAGGCTGTTTTATAAATTATTTATAATTAAGATCATGGGCAATTAATTCCACAGCATGCTAAGCAATTTAATATAATTGTCCTTGGTTATAATCTTGATGCCAAGAAACTCCTACTTTCTGATTTTTAGTTTCTTCCTTTCTACTCAATTGTAACTGGGAAAAAAATGTACTATATTTGGTGGGGCAATTTATAAAATCTAATAAAAGTGGATACACATATATTAAATCATCTAATATATAACTTAATTAAGACTACAGAAAGGAAAAGGATGGAAGGAAACAAAGGAGGTGCTTTACATATGTTACATTTATTTGATTCTTACACAATGTTTCTGAAAAGCGGATACGAATATCCTCATTCCTACAAAGAACACAAGTTAGGGAAGATAATTTAGTAACAAAGGCCATCAGCTAGTAAGTGGATATGTAGCTCTATCTACTACAAAGTTCTATTACCTTTCTTTTCCTTTCTCACTGTCTTCCTTTCTTAAATATCTACTGTATGATATGGTTTGGATCTGTGTCCCCACCAAATCTTATGTTGAAATGTGATCCCCATTGTTGGAGATGGGGTGTGGTAGGAGGTGTTTGGGCCATGGGGGTGGATCCCTCATGACTCAGTGCTCTCCTCACCATAGTGAGTGGGTTCTTGGTAGATGTGGTTGTTTAAGTGTGTGGCACCAACTCCCTCATCTCCTCATGCCCCCACCACTCTCTGTTGCCCCTGCTTTTACCATGCAACATGCAAGCTCCTGCTTCACCTTCCGCCATGAGTAAAAGCTTCCTGAGGCCTCCCCAGAAGCAGATGTCTGCACTAGGCTTGTACAGCCTGCAGAACCATAAGCCAATTAAACTATTTTTCCTTATAAATTACCCAGTCTCAGGTACTTCTTTATAGCAATGCAAGAACAGCATAATACACTGTACATTTACTAAGTGTCAAGCATTATGAGAGGTAGTACAAATATAGAAATGAGTGACCAAAGTCCTTTGGAGCACAACATCCAAGCCTGAACTGTCAATATGGTAACTACAAGCTATGTACATCTATGAGCACTTGAAATGTGGCCAGTATGATTTAAGATATGCTGTAAATTAAATAATACATTATATTTAGAAGACTTGGTAAAAAGTATGCAAAACATATAACATAATTTTTTATATTGATTGCCTATAGAAATAATTAATTTTGGATATGAGGTTAAATAAAACGTATGTTTAAAATTTCTTTTAACAATTTCTCCTTACATCTTAAATGTGACTACCAGAAAATTTTAAGTTATAAGTGTGTCTCACATTTCATTTCTATTATACACCACTGGTCTAAAGATGCCATCTCAATCTTGCTTTAGGATATATACATGAATGACCTACCTGTAATTTTTAAATGTTATATTTCAAGATTATTTCAAATAAGAAATACCTGTAATCCACTTTCTGCCACCATCAATACTTATTGACTGTATATTCAGTCTCTCTTGAAATTTTAGAAGTCAAATTAAAATTAGCTAAATCCTGTTGGTTTTTATTTTCCTGACAGAGTACACAATGAGCAGGAGATACCTCAATTTCAGACATAAAAATTCTTGTAATGGATTTAAAACTCTTTTCTTACATCCCACAAGTCTCTCTTAGAGATTTGCTGAACACTTTTAATAACATAGCATGCATTTCTGCCAGCATGAAAAATTTTGTTTAGAATTTGATACATTAAAAGTATTTTTCATGTTTTCCTAAAGAAGATCAGGCAAGATGTGTTTTCAGATAATAAAACATTTGTCTTTATGAAATATCTATTAATGTGAACAGTGGGGAATCATACAAAATGGTATATTTTCTATAATATTGTTACGTACCGATAGAGCAATATAAATTTATAATTCAACATAAAGCCTAACATTCGAAAGTTGTGTAAGAGACAGTAACTATATTGATAAACTTGTAAGAATGATTGAAAATGCAATTCCAAAAAATATGTAAAATAGTGAGAAACACCAAATTTTAACTGAGTGCATGGACCAAAACTGTCAAAAAAAATCACACAACTTTATACTATGCTTTAGTTCATAACTAAACTAAACTGGTATTTTATGTACCACAAAATGCTCACTTTATAAGCCCCTCCTACACTGAATCACTTTGTTTTGCCTTTTGATAAAACTGAAATGGTTTGATAAAACTGAAATATTCCAATTTTATCATCAAAAACAAAATTGTCATAAATACACATAAGACAGTATGAGCATACACAAAGCAACATTATAAAATGGAACATACAAAGGCATGGAATCACAAGCCAGATACTTGTGAGGCTCCAGGTAGTCACAAACTTTCTGATTTTAATTCCCTCATCTGAAAAACAGGAAAACTAAGGCTGGCCATGCCTGGGGAGCCTGTGAAACTCAAAGGAGAGCATACATAAAAGAAATGTATTACCAGTAATGTGTGACACAAATTATGCTATCATTATATTAAAAATGAGTTTATTCTATTATTTTATTATAAACATCTACACTTCAATTAATGTTTTGAATAGTTATTGTAACAAAAATAAAAATATTTTAAATATATTAAATTTCAGCATTTTCAAATCATTTTGGAATCATCTTGGTATAAATTACTAAAATCACACCAATAAATAAAAATATTTATGAAAAGATACTTGATGATGACAATCGAATTTTGGGAGATAGCTGACCATAGAATTAAAAGGGCAAGCAGCAACTGCCTGAATGTAAATAGGCAAGCATCATCTACCTCCCACTGTACCTGTTGTGATACAGTGGATTCCTGCATGAAATTGAATCTATATAGAATGTTTAAATTTTATTATTTTAAAAAATCTATTTTCCACTTCCAAAATGGATTGAGAATACCTCCTTCCTTTCCTTACTTCCTTCAGCTGCCTTCACAAAGTATCAGAAGACCGGGAAAAACAACATGGCCTTTGCTCTGATACTGAGCAATCCGTGGTGGGGCAGGCAGGTGGGAAGCCTGGAGAGTTGATGCACTGGTACGTAGGGCGGAATTCTCTTACAAGCCTTGAGAGAAAATGAACTGGACATTTTTTTTCCAGTTGTGGAAATGAAATAATTATATTAAACTTAACTACAAAAAAGTTCAAATTTGTATAGCCAGTGTGTTTTAAGGAGAAGCAAAGAGAACAAAATCAGAAGGAAATAAACTAAGTTGTTAATCATGGCTGAGAGACGGTGGTGGCATTAACAAAAGTTTTTTCCATTTCTCCAAATGCTCTTCAACATTTATGGCATACAAGAACATTCAAAATCCTCTCTTCTAGCTATTTTGTAATATACAATACCTTACTGTTAACCATCATCACCCTACTGTGCAACAGAACACCAGAACTTAACTCCTCCTATCTCATTGTAACTTTGTACCAGTTGACTAACTTCTTTCCATCCTCCTCCACCTCCCGCCTACCCAATTTCTAGTAACCACTGTTCTACTATCTGCTTCTGTGATATCGATATTTTTTTAAGATACCACATATGACTGAGATCACATGGTATTTGTCTTTTTGGGTCTGGCTTGTTTCACTAAATATGATGTCCTTGAGTTTCATTCATATTGTCACAAATGACGGGATTCATTCTTTTTATAGCTGAATAGTATTTTATTCTGTATATGTACCACATTTTGTCTACCATTCATCCATTGTTAAACACTTAGGTTGATTCTATTTCTTGGATATTGTGAACAGTGCTGCAAAAACATTGGAGTACAGATATCTCAACAGACAGAATTCATCTCCTGTGGATACAGACCCAGTAGTTTGATTGCTGGATCATGTCAGGTCTATTTTTAACATTTTGAGAAACCTCCATACTGTTTTCCATGATCGCTTACTAATTTACCATCCTACTAGCAGTATATAAGTGTTTCCTTTTCTCTATATCTTCGTTAATACTTGTTTTCTTCTGTCTTTTTGATAATTGCCATTCTAACTCAAATGAGATGGTATCTCATTATGGTTTTGATTTATGTTTTCTTGACGATTAGTCACGAGCATTTTTTCATGTATGTGTTGCTCATTTGTATGTCTTCTTTTGAGAAATGCCTATTAAGGTCTCTTGCCCATTTGTTACTTGGGCTACTAGATTTTTTTGCTGTTAAATTTCTTATATATTCTGGATACTAACTCCTTGTCAGATATATAGTTTGCAAATACTTTCTCCCATTCTGTAGGTTGTCTCTTTATGCTATTATTTTGTTTGTTTTGGATTTTTTGTTTTGTTTTGCTGTGGAAAAGCTTTTCAATTTGATGTAATCATATTTGGTTTTTTTTTGCTTTTGTTCCCTGTGCATTTGAGTCTCATCCTTGCCCAGCTCAATGCTGTGAAGCATTTTCCTTATGTTATCTTCTAGTACTTTGATAGTTTTGGATTTAAGTCATTAGTCCATTTTGAGTTTACTGTTGTACGTTAAGAGGTAGGGGTCTAGTCTCATTCTTTTTCATGTAGATATCCAATTTCCCACCACTGTGTATGGAAGAGACTATCTTTTCCCCAATGTGTGTTCTTGGTGGCACTTTTGTTGAAAATCAGTTGGCTGTAGATGTCAGAATTTATTTCTGGGCTCTCTGTTTTGTTCCCTTGGTCTATGTGTTTGGTTTTTATGCCAGTACAATGCTGTTTTGGTTACTAAAGCTTTGTAATATATTTTTAAGTCATGTTGTGTAATGCCTCAAGCTTTGTACCTTTTACTCAAGACTGTCTTGGCTTTTGGGGTCTCTCGTGGTTCCATAAGAATTTTAAGATATTTTTTCTATTTATGTGAAGAATATTGATATTTTCATAGGGTTGCTTCAGGTAGTATAGCCACTTTAACAATGTTAATTCTTCCAATTCATGAACATGGGATATCTTTCCATTTATTTGTGCCTTCCTCAATTTCTTTAATAAGTGTTTTGAAGTCTTCAATGAAGACATCTTTCACAACTTTGGTTTAGTTTATTTCTAGGTATCTTAATTTTTTTATAGCTATCATGGAATTGTTTCCTTGAGTTCTTTTTCAGACAGTTCACTATAATCATATAGAAATGCTACTGATTTTTGTATGTTGATTTTGTATTGTGAAACTTTACTGAATTCATTTATTAGTTCTAATATTTTTTGGTGGAGTTGTTAGAGTTTTCTATATATAAGATCATGTTGTCTTCAAACAGGAACACTTTGACCTTCTCCTTTCCAATTTGGATGCATCTTGTTTCTTTCTCTTGCTTAATTGCTTGGATGAAGACTTCTAGTATTATGTTAAAAAGAAGTGGTTAAAAAAAAGGGTATCTTTTTTATTGCATCTATTTGATTCTTCTCTCTTTTCTCCTTTATTAGTCTTGCTAGCAGTCTATCAATTTTGTTGACGCTTTCAAAAAACCAGCTCCTGGATTCATTAACTTTTTGAAGGGTTTTTTGTGTCTCTATACACCAATAACAGACAAACAGAGAGCCAAATCATGAGTGAACTCCCATTCACAATTGCTTCAAAGAGAATTAAATACCTAGGAATCCAACTTACAAGGGACGTGAAGGACCCCTTCAAGAACTACAAACCACCGCTCAATGAAATAAAAGAGGATACAAACAAATGGAAGAACATTCCATACTCACGGGTAGGAAGAATCAATATCATGAAAATGGCCATACTGCCCAAGGTAATTTACAGATTCAATGCCATCTCCATCAAGCTACCAATGACTTTCTTCACAGAATTGGAAAAAACTACTTTAAGGATCATATGAAACCAAAAAAGAGCCCGCATCGCCAAGTCAATCCTAAGCCAAAAGAACAAAGCTGGAGACATCACACTACCTGACTTCAAACTATACTACAAGGCTACAGTAACCAAAACAGCATGGTACTGGTACCAAAACAGAGATATAGATCAATGGAACAGAACAGAGCCCTCAGAAATAACACCGCATATCTACAACTGTCTGATCTTTGACAAACCTGAGAAAAATAAGCAATGGGGAAAGGATTCCCTATTTAATAAATGGTGCTGGGAAAACTGGCTAGCCATATGTAGAAAGCTGAAACTGGATCCCTTCCTTACACCTGATACAAAAATTAATTCAAGATGGATTAAAGACTTAAACGTTAGACCTAAAACCATAAAAACCCTAGAAGAAAACCTAGGCATTACCATTCAGGACATAGGCATGGGCAGGGACTTCATGTCTAAAACACCAAAAGCAATGGCAACAAAAGCCAAAATTGACAAATGGGATCTAATTAAACTAAAGAGCTTCTGCACAGCAAAAGAAACTACCATCAGAGTGAACAGGCAACCCACAAAATGGGAGAAAATTTTTGCAACCTACTCATCTGACAAAGGGCTAATATCCAGAATCTACAATGAACTCAAACAAATTTACAAGAAAAAAACAAACAACCCCATCAAAAAGTGGGTGAAGGATATGAACAGACACTTCTCAAAAGAAGACATTTATGCAGCCAAAAAACACATGAAAAAATGCTCACCATCACTGGCCATCAGAGAAATGCAAATCAAAACCACAATGAGATACCACCTCACACCAGTTAGAATGGCAATCATTAAAAAGTCAGGAAACAACAGGTGCTGGAGAGGATATGGAGAAATAGGAACACTTTTACACTGTTGGTGGGACTGTAAACTAGTTCTACCATTGTGGAAGTCAGTGTGGCGATTCCTCAGGGATCTAGAACTAGAAATACCATTTGACCCAGCCATCCCATTACTGGGTATATACCCAAAGGACTATAAATCATGCTGCTACAAAGACACATGCACATGTATGTTTATTGCAGCACTATTCACAATAGCAAAGTCTTGGAACCAACCCAAATGTCCAACAATGATAGACTGGATTAAGAAAATGTGGCACATATACACCATGGAATACTATGCAGCCATAAAAAAGGATGAGTTCATGTCCTTTGTAGGGACATGGATGAAATTGGAAATCATCATTCTCAGTAAACTATCGCAAGGACAAAAAACCAAACACCGCATGTTCTCATTCATAGGTGGGAACCGAACAATGAGAACACATGGACACAGGAAGGGGAACATCACACTCTAGGGACTGTTGTGGGGTGGGGGGAGTGGGGAGGGATAGCATTAGGAGATATACCTAATGCTAAATGACGAGTTAATGGGTGCAGCACACCAGCATGGCACATGTATACATATGTAACTAACCTGCACATTGTGCACATGTACCCTAAAACTTAAAGTATAATAATAATAAAATAAAACAAAAATAAAAAACTAAAAATAAAAAAATAAAGATAAATGGGTATCTTTGTCTTGTTTCCAATCTGAGAGGAACAGTTTGGTGTTAGCGGTGTGTTTGTCATAGATGGCCTTTATTGAGTTGAGGTACATATCTTCTATACTTAATTTGTTGAGAGTTTTTATCAGGAAATGATGTTGAATTTTGTCAAATGCTTTTCCTAAAAATTTTGAAATTATCATACAGTTTTTGTTTTCCTTTCTGTTAATGTGGTATATCACATTTATTGATTTGCATATGTTGAACTATCCTTGCATGCCTGGGATAAATCCCACTTGATCCTACTGAATGATCTTTTTAATGTGCTGTTGGATTTAGTTTGCTAGTATATTGTTGAGAATGTTTGCATCTATGTTCGTCAAGGATATTGAATTGTAGTTTTGTTGTTGTTGTGTCCTTGTCTGTTTTGGAATCAGTAAATTGCTGGCCTCACAAAATGAGCTTGAAAGTATTCTCTCCTCGAGTTTATAGAAGAGTTGAAGGAGCATTGGTTTTAGTTCTTTTTTAAATATTTTGCAGATTTCAGCAGTGAAGTCATCAGGTCCTGAGCTTTTCTTTGATGGAAGATTTTTTGTTACTGATTCAATTTCCTCACTCACCCTTGGTCTGTTTAGATTTTCTATATCTTCATAATTTAAACTTGGTAGGTTGTAAATGTCTAGGAATTTATATGTTTCTTCTATATTATCAAATTTGTTGAGGTATAGTTGTTCACAGTAGTCTCTTTTGAACCTTTGTATTTCTGTGGTATCAAGTTGTAATGTCTCCTTTTTTATTTCAAATTTTATTTAGTTGAGTCTTCTCTGTCTTAGTCTGGCTAATGATTTGTCAATATTGGTTATGTTTCTTAAAAAAGTTCTTTGTTTCATTGATCTTTTGAATGGTTTTCAGTCTGTATTTTGTTTATTTTTGCTCTGAGATTTATTATTTCCTCCCTTCTACCAATTTTAGGTTTAGTTTTTCTTGGTGTTTTTAGGTCCTTGCAGTGCATTATCATGTTGTTTATTAAAAATCTTTCTTCCTTTTTGATGTAGGCATTTATTGCTATAAATAACTCTGATATAACTGCTTTTGCTATGTCCCGTGGGTTTTGGTATGATGTGTTTTCATTCTTGTTTGTCACAAGGTATTTTTATATTTCCCTTTTAATTTCCTCATTGATCCACTGGTTATTTAGGAGCGTGTTGACTAATGTCCATGTTTTTGTTATGTTTCTGAAGATTTTCTTGTTGATTTCTAGCTTTCTACCACTGTGATCAGAAAAGATACTTGATGTAATTCCTATCTTCTTAAATTTGTTGAAACTTGTTTTGTAGCTTAACATATGATCTATCCTGAAGAATGTTCCATGTGCAGATGTTGGATGGCATGTTCCATAAATGTCTTTTAGGTCCATTTGGTCTATAGTGCAGTTTAAGTCCAATGTTTCTTTATTTTTTTATCTTAATGATCTGTCCATTGTTGAAAGTTGGGTGTTAAAGTGCTCTACTAATTTTATATTGCAGTCTATCTTTCACTTTAGATGTAATAATATTTATATATTTAGGAGCTTTGGTGCTGGGTGAATATATATTTACAATTGTTACATCCTCTTGTTGAGTTAATCCCTTTATCATTATATAACCTTCTCTGTTTCTTTCTATAATTTTTTAATTAAAGCCTATTTTTTTACATAAGCATGGCTACTCCTGCTCAGTTTTGTTTTCCATTTTCAAAGAATATCTTTTTCTATTCCTTCACTTTCAGTCTATGTTTGTCTTTAAAAGCAAAGTGAGTACCTTATTGGCAGCATACAGTTGGGTCTTGTTTTTATGTCCATTCACTCACTCTGTATCTTTTAATTAGGGGATTTAACCCATTTACATTCTACATTATTATTGATAGATAAGAACTTACTCCTGCAACTTTGTTCCTTGTTTTCTGATTGTTTTTTAGGCCCTCTGTTCCTCTTTTGTTGTTTACCTCTCTAGATTGGTGGTTTTTTTGTGATGCTAGGCTTTGTTTCCTTTCTCTTTCTCTTTTGTGTATTTACTATAATTTCTTTCTTTGTGGTTACTATGGAACTAACATAAAGAGTCTTGTAGTTATAATAGCTAATTTTAAGCTGATAACATTCTTAGTTTAGTGAACATAAAAGTACTCTAGATATTTTCCCTCCATCCTACAATTTATTTTTTTTCCCTAATTTATATCTTTATGTAGTATGTGTTCCTCTGCCACTAATGGTATCTGTTGCTTTTTTTTTAACCATTTTTACTTTAAACTTTTATACTAGAACAACGAAAGATTTAGATTGCACCATTAGAGCACTGGGGTATTCTGAGCTTGATTATGTATTTACCTCTCCTGGAGGTTTTATGCTTTCATGTGTATTCATGATAGTAATTATCATCCTCTTGTTTACAGCTGTAATATTCCCTTAAGCATTTCTTGTAAGGCTAGGCTAGTGATGAATTCCCTCAGCTTTTGCTTGTCTGGGAAGATCTTTATTTCTCCTTTATTTCTGAAGGAAACCTTTGATAGGTATATTATTTCTCCTTTATTTCTAAAGGAAACCTTTGCTAGGTATAGTATTCTTTACTGACAGTTGGTTTTCTTTTTTTTAGTATGTTGAATATACCATTCTCTTCTAGCCTGGATGGTTTTGGCTGAAACATCTGCTGATAATCTAGCAGGAATTTCAGTTTCTGTAACTTGATGTTTCTCTCATGCAGCTTTTAGAATTCTCTGTGTTTGACATTTGACAGTTTGATTATAAAGTACATCAGAGAAGATTTTTGCAGGTTGAATATAATTTAGAATTTTTGAAATTCCAGGATCTTGATGATCATGTCTTTCCCTAGACTTGGGAAGGTTTCAGTAATTATTTAAGAGGTTTTATGTACCCTTCTCCATTTCTTCCCCCAGCATCCCTATAATGCAAATATTAGTTCACTTAATGATGTTCCCTAAGTCCCATAGGCTTTCTTCATTGTTTGATTCTTTTTCCTCTGGATTATTTTGAAAGCAAGTTTATAAATTTTTCTGCTTGATTAGTCTGTTGTTGAAGCCCTCAATGGTATTTTTACTTCATTCATTGAATTCTTCAGCTCTAAGATTTCTGTGTGGTTCTTTTCCATAATATCTATCTCTTTATTGGATTTCTTGTTCAGATAATAAACTTTTTTCCTAATTTTATTGAATTCTTTGTCTATATTTTTTGTATCTCCCTGAGCTTCCTTAAGATCATTATTCTGAATTCCTTTCAGACATTTCATAAGTATCCTTTTCTTTGGGGTCTGTTACTATAGACTTATTTGTTGCATTGAGGGTGTCATATGTCCCTGCTTTTTCATGTTTCTTAAGTCCCCACATTGATATCTGTGCATCCAATGGAGCCGTCACTTTTTCTAACTTTATGGAGTAGCTTTTGTAGGGAGAGACTTTTTCCTGCAGATGGTCAGAGTGTCAGTTGGCTATGGTGCATTGGCTTTGGTTCTGTGAGGACTCAGTAGCATCATCTCTGTGCAATTTCTTTAATTATAATCCTCCTCATTATGTCTGTGATTGTCTCAATGGCTAAGATGTGAGAGTTTGTGATGGCAATGCCACAGTTTTGTTGGGGACACGGGCACTGGGCTGATTGTCAGGCCAAGCATGTTTACTCATAACGGATCAACAGTTTGTGCAATGGACTTTCTAAGGGTGCAGGGCTGCTGCCAGACTGACTGTCTGGAAAGGCAACAGGTGGGGTTACAAGCAAGTTCTGCAAGTCAGGTGGCTGTGGGTTGGTCTCTCCAGAGAGGCAGGGACACCACTGTTCTGGTTTTCAAGCTGGACATAGGCATACACAGCCTCAGTGGGCCAGCTGGCTATGCTATGCCAGTGTGCACAGGCGCAGCAGGTCAGCTAGCTATTAGGCAGCTTCCTTACTCTGCAGGTCTTTTCATTCCCTAGAAAGAGGTTAGGCACATGGAATTTGAAACCAAATTATCAACTGTTTTGTTGGACCTAGGCTCTGGGCAGTCAGAATTGCAGTGCTGCAGAAACCCATGTGAATGTGGTGGAACAACTGTAGGGCCTCACAAATGGAAAGAGTCAGTGGCTACTGGCCCCTGGGGTAGGACACACTCTGGTAGTAGGTCCAGCTTCAGGATGGTGCCATTCCATAGCAACTTAAATCATAGGAAAGGAAGGTACTAAACATGGGCCCCTACCCCAAGACAATTCAGCAGCACAAACTCCTAGCAATTCTCCAAATTGGCTTCAGGTCCTGTGAGGACTGAAGGACCCTCCTGTAGTAAACTACTGGCATCTAAGGCAGTAATGAGGACCACTGAGTGGTCTCCACCTTACTTTTTCCTTGCAAGAAGAAGTCTTCCTTGACTCTGAGCCTGTCCTAGCAGGGAAGACAGTGTATCAGAGGCAGGGTGACTCACTCACCTTTCTATGGTGCTGTCCTATACATCCATGCTCCACAGATTTTGCTGCTCCTCTGGTGCTATCCAGCAAACTTCCTCAGTCACTCCAGATGAAATATACTTGTTTATTTGTTGTTTCGGTCTCTCTTTGTGGGGAGACAAATGCCAAGCAACTCCAGTTGGCCATGCTATCACTTGCCTACGAGCTCATTTTAGAGAGAGATTGCTATCCTAACAACTCTCATTCACCTTATTGAGAGAAGGTTCCATCACACTAATTGGACAATAATTTCATATGGAACTGTATTTAGACAATGTTAATTATTGGCAGACCCACCCTCAATCTGGGTAGGCACCGTCTAATCAGCTGCCAGTGTGGCCAGGATAAAAGCAGGTGGAGAAAGGTGGAAGGACTCGACTGGCTAAGTCTTCCGGCCACCACATTTCTCCCACGCTGGACACTTCCTGCCCTCAAACATCAGACTCAAAGATCTGATGTTTGTGGACTCTGGGACCTACATCAGTGATTTGCCAGGGTCTCTCAGGCCTTTGGCCACAGACAGAAGGCCGCACTGTTGGCTTCCTTATTTTTGAGGTTTTGGGACTCAGACTGGCTTCTTTGGTCCTCAGCTTACAGATGGCCTATTGTGGGACTTCACCTTGTGTGAGTCAATACTCCTTAATAAACTCCCCTTCATTCCTGGGTAAGATGGCCAAATAGGAACAGCTCCAGTCTGCAGCTCCCTGTGAGACCAATGCAGAAGGTGGGTGATTTTTCCAACTGAGGTACCTGGTTCATCTCATTGGGACTGGCTACACAGTGGGTGGAGCCCAGGGAGGGCAAGCAGAAGCAGGGTAGGATGTTGCCTCACCCAGGAAGAACAAGGGGTCAGGGAACTCCCTTCCCTAGCAAAGGGAAGCCATGAGAAACTGTGCTGTGAGGGATGATGCTATCTGGCCCAGATACTACGCTTTTCCCATGGTCTTTGCAATCCACAGACCAGGAGATTCCCTTGGGTGCCTGCACCACCAGGGCCCTGGGTTTCAAGCACAAAACTGGGCGGCCATTTGGGCAGACACCGAGCTAGCTGCAGGAGTTTTTGTTCATACCCCAGTAGTGCCTGGAACATCAGCAAGACAGAACCGTTTACTCCCCTGGAAAGGGGGCTGAAGCCAGGGAGCCAAGTGGTCTTGCTCAGTGGATCCTACCCCTACAGAGCCCAACAAGCTAAGATACACTGGCTTGAAATTCTCGCTGTCAGCACAGCACGCTGAAGTTGACCTGGGATACTAGAGCTTGGTGGGGGGAGGGGTGTCTGCCATTACTGAGGCTTGAGTAGGCATTTTCCCCTCACAGTGTAAACAAAGCTGCCCAGAAATTCAGATTGGGTGGAGGCCACCACAGCACCACAAAGCCACTGTAGCCAGACTGCCTCTCTATATTCCTCCTCCCTGGGCAGGGCATCTCTGAAAGAAAGGCAGCAGCACCAGTCAGGGTCTTAAAGATAAAATTCCCATCTCCCTGGGACAGAGCACCTGGGGGAAGGGACAGCTGTGGGCACAGCTTCAGCAGACTTAAACGTCCCTGCCTGCCAGCTCTGAAAAGAACAGCAGATCTCCCAGCACAGCACTTGAGCTCTGCTAAGGGGACAGACTGCCTCCTCAAGTGAGTCCCTGACCCCCATGCCTCCTGTCTGGGAGACACCTCCCAGTAGGGGTCAACAGACAACTCATACAGGAGAGCTCTGACTGGCATCTGGCATGTGCCCCTCTGGGACGGAGCTTCCAGAGGAAGGAGCAGGCAGCAATCTTAGCTGTTCTGCAGCCTCTGCTGGTGATACCCAGGCAAACAGGGCCAGGAGTGGACCTCCAGCAAACTCCAGCAGGCCTGCAGAAGAGGGGCCTGACTGTTAAAAGGAAAACTAACAAACAGAAAGGAAGAGCATCAACATCGACAAAAAGGACAACCACACAAAAACCCTATCTGAAGGTCACCAACAGCAAAGAGGAAAGGTAGATAAATCCATGAAGATGAGAAAACCAGCACAAAAAGTCTAAAAATTCCAAAAACCAGAACACCTCTTCTCCTCCAAAGGATCACAACTCCTCCCCAGCAAGGGAACAAAACTGGACAGAGAATGAATTTAACAAATTGACAGAAGTAGGCTTCAGAAGGCGGGTAATAACAAACTCCTTGGAGCTAAAGGAGCATGTTCTAACCCAATGCAAGGAAGCTAAGAACCTTGATAAAAGGTTACAGGAATTGCTAACTAGTATAACCAGTTTAGAGAAGAACATAAATGACCTGATGGAGCTGAAAAACACAGCACAAGAACTTCGTGAAGCATACACAAGTATCAGTAGCCGAATTAATCAAGCAGAAGAAAGGACATCAGAGATTGAAGATCAATTTAATGAAATAAAGCATGAAGACAAGATTAGAGAAGAATGAAAAGGAACAAAAAAAGCTTCCAAGAAATATGGCACTATGTGAAAAGACCAAAACTACATTTGTTTGGTGCACCTGAAAGTGACAGGAAGAATGGAATCAAGTTGGAAAACACTCTTCAGGATATTATCCAGGAGAACTTCCCCAACCTAGCAAGACAGGCCAACATTCAAAATCAGGAAATACAGAGAACACCACAAAGATATTTCTCGAGAAGAGCAATCCCAAGACACATAATTGTCAGATTCACCAAAGTTGAAATGAAGGAAAAAATGTTAAGGGCAGCCAGAGAGAAAGGTCGGGTTACCTACAAAGGGAAGCCCATCAGACTAACAGCAGATCTCTCTGCAGAAACCCTACGAGCCAGAAGAGAGTGGGGGCCAATATTCAACGTTCTTAAATAAAATAATTTTCAACCCAGAATTTCATATCCAGCCAAACCGTGCTTCATAAGTGAAGGAGAAATAAAACCCTTTACAGACAAGCAAATGTTGAGAGATTTTGTCACCACCAGGCCTGCCTTACAAGAGCTCCTGAAGGAAGCACTAAATATGGAAAGGAAAACTGGTACCAGCCACTGCAAACACATACCACAATGTAAAGACCATCAACATTGCCTCTCAGGGCAGCGGGGGGCAAGGGGAGGGATAACGTTAGGGGAAATACCTAATGTAGATGATGGGTTGATGGGTGCAGCAAACCACCATGGCACATGTATACATATATAACAAACCTGCACATTCTGCACGTTTCCCAGAACTTAAAGTATAATAATTAAATAAAAGAAAATGTGAATTATTATAAGTAAATGCTGAAGTAAAATTAAATAACAAATATTAGGACTTCAAAGAAAGTGTTTGGTCAGAGCTGATCAACGTGAAGAGCAGGAAGAAATACCAGTACATAGCAATGTGATATAGAGAAAATCAGCAAAACTAAAAGTTGGCTTTTAAAAGAAGAAGAAAATAAAGTTGAGAGTACTTCAGCAAAATTCTCCAAAGAGAAAGAGGAGAAAGGGGTGAAAAGTGAGAGAGATAGAGAGCAAGTACCTAAATAATCAATATCAAGAATAAAGAGATATCACTACAGATGTTATTATTAACAACTTTATAGCAATACTTTTGACAATTTAAACATATCTTTATAAACACTTACTCAACTGATAGAAGATGTCTTCCACAATGGTTGAATTAGTTTACAGTCCCACCAACAGTGTAAAAGTGTTCCTATTTCTCCACATCCTCTCCAGCACCTGTTGTGTTTCCTGACTTTTTCATGATCGCCATTCTAACTGGTATGAGATGGTATCTCGTTGTGGTTTTGATTTGCATTTCTCTGATGGTCAGTGATGATGAGCATTTTTTTATGTGTCTGTTGGCTACATAAATGTCCTCTTTCGAGAAGTGTCTATTCATATCCTTTGCCCACTTTTTGATGGGGTTGATTTTTTCTTGTAAATTTGTTTGAGTTCTTTGTAGATACTGCATATTAGCCCTTTGTCAGATGGGTAGATTGTAAAAATTTTCTCCCGTTCTGTAGGTTGCCTTTTCACTCTGATGGTAGTTACTTTTGCTATGCAGAAGCCCTTTAGTTTAATTAGATCCCATTTGTCAATTTTGGCTTTTGTTGCCATTGCTTTTGGTGTTTTAGACATGAAGTCCTTGCCCATGCCTATGTCCTGAATGGTAATGCCCAGGTTTTCTTCTAGGGTTTTTATGGGTTTAGGTCTAACATTTAAGTCTTTAATCCATCTTGAATTAATTTTTGTATAAGGTGTAAGGAAGGGATCCAGTTTCAGCTTTCTACATATGGCTAGCCGGTTTTCCCAGCACCATTTATTAAATAGGGAATCCTTTCCCCATTGCTTGTTTTTGTCAGGTTTGTCAAAGATCAGACGGTTGTAGGTGTGTGGTATTATTTCTGAGGGCTCTGCTTTGTTTTGTTGGTCTATATCTCTGTTTTGGTACCAGCACCATGCTGTTTTGGTTACTGCAGCCTTATAGTATAGTTAGAAGTCAGGTAGCATGATGCCTCCAGCTTTGTTCTTTTGGCTTAGGATTGTCTTGGCAATGTGGGCTCTTTTTTGGTTGCATATGAACTTTAAAATAGTTTTTTCCAATTATTTGAAGAAAGTCATTGGTAGCTTGATGGGGATGGCATTGAATCTATAAATTACCTTGGGCAGTAAGGCCATTTTCAAAATATTGTTTCTTCCTATCCATGAGCATGGCATGTTCTTGAATTTGTTTGTGTCCTCTTTTATTTCGTTGAGCAGTGGTTTGTAGTTCTCCTTGAGGAGGTCCTTCACATCCCTTGTAAGTTGGATTCCTAGGTATTTTATTCTCCTTGAAGCAATTGTGAATGGGAATTCACTCACGATTTGGCTCTCTGTTTGTCTGTTACTGGTGTACAGGAATGCCTGTGATTTTTGCACATTGATTTTGTATCCTGAGACTTTGCTGAAGTTGCTTATCAGCTTAAGGAGATTTTGGGCTGAGATGATGGGGTTTTCTAAATATACAATCATGTCATCTGCAAACAGGGACAATTTGACTTTCTCTTTTCCTAATTGAATACCCTTTATTTCTTTATCCTGCCTGATTGCCCTGGCCAGAACTTCCAACACTACGTTGAATAGGAGTGGTGAGAGAGGGCATCCTGTCTTGTGCCAGTTTTCAAAGGGAATGTTTCCAGTTTTTGCTCATTCAGTATCATATTGGCTGTGGGTTTGTCATAAATAGCTCTTATCATTTTGAGATATGTCCCATGAATACCTAGTTTATTGAGAGTTTTTAGCATGAAGTGCTGTTGAATTTTGTTGAAGGCCTTTTCTGCATCTATTGAGATAATGTTGTGGTTTTTGTCTTAGGTTCTGTTCATATGATGGATTACATTTATTGATTTGCGTATGTTGAACCAGCCTTGCATCTCAGGGATGAAGCCAATTCTATCATGGTGGATAAATATTTTGATGTGCTGCTGGATTCGGTTTGCCAGTATTTTACTGAGGATTTTTACATCAATGTTCATCAGGGATATTGGTCTAAAATTCTCTCTTTTTTTTTTTTTTGTTGTGTCTCTGCCAGGCTTTGGTATCAGGATGATGCTGGCCTCATAAAATGAGCTAAGGAGGATTCCCTCTTTTTCTGTCGATTGGAAGAGTTTCAGAAGGAATGCTACCAGCTCCTATTTGTACCTCTGGTGGAATTTGACTGTGAATCCATCTGGTCCTGGACTCTTTTTGGTTGGTAGGCTATTATTGCCTCAATTTCAGAGCTTGTAATTGGTCTATTCAGGGATTCAACTTCTTCCTGGTTTAGTCTTGGGAGGGTGTGTGTGTCCAGGAATTTATCCATTTCTTCTAGATTATCTAGGTTATTTGCGTAGAGATGTTTATAGTATTCTCTGATGGTAGTTTGTATTTCTGTGGGATTGGTGGTGATATCCCCTTTATCATTTTTTATTGTGTCTATTTGATTCTTTTCTCTTCTTTATTAGTCTTGCTAGCTGTCTATCAATTGTGTTGATCTTCTCAAAAACCAGCTCCTGGACTCACTGATATTTTGAAGGGTTTTTTTGTGTCTCTATTTCCTTCAGTTCTGCTCTGATCTTAGTTATTTCTTGCCTTCTGCTAGCTTTTGAATGTGTTTGCTCTTGCTTCTCCAGTTCTTCTAGTTCTGATGTTAGGGTGTCAATTTTAGATCTTTCCTGCTTTCTCTTGTGGGCATTTAGTGCTATAAATTTCCCTCTACACACTGCTTTAAATGTGTCCCAGAGATTCTGGTATGTTGTGTCTTTGTTCTCATTGGTTTCAAAGAACATCTTTATTTCTGCCTTCATTTCGTTATGTACCCAGTAGTCATTCAGGAGCAGGTTGTTCAGTTTCCATGTAGTTGAGCAGTTTTGAGTGAGTTTCTTAATCCTGAGTTCTAGTTTGATTGCACTGTGATCTGAGAGACAGTTTGTTATAATTTCTGTTCTTTTACATTTGCTGAGGAGTGCTTTACTTCCAACTATGGGTGCCTCTCTGAGACGAAGCTTCCAGAGGAAGGATCAGGCAGCAACATTTGCCCCTCTGCAATATTTGCTGTTCTACACCTCCGCTGGTGATACCCAGGCAAACAGGGTCTAGAGTGGACCTCCAGCAAACTCCAACAGACCTGCAGCTGAGGGTCCTGACTTAGAAGGAAAACTAACAAACAGAAAGGACATCCACACCAAAACCCCACCTATACATCACCATCATCAAAGACGAAAGGTAGATAAAACCACAAAGATGGGGAGAAACCAGAGCAGAAAGGCTGAAAATTCTAAAAATCAGAGCGGCTCTTCTCCTCCAAGGAAACGCAGCTCCTCGCCAGCAACGGAACAAAGCTGGACAGAGAATGACTTTGACAGGTTGTGAGAAGAAGGCTTCAGACGATCGGTAATAACAAACTTCTCCAAGCTAAAGGAGGATGTTCGAACCCATTGCAAAGAAGCTAAAAACCTTGAAAAAAGATTAGACAAGAGGCTAACTAGAAGAAACAGAGTAGAGAAGACCTTAAATGACTTAATGGAGCTGAAAACTATGGCACAAGAACTACGTGACGCATGCGCAAGCTTCAGTAGCTGATTCGGTCAACTGGAAGAAAGGGTATCAATGATTGAAGATCAAATGAGTGAAATGAAGTGAGAAGAGAAGTTTAGAGAAAAAAGAGTAAAAAGAAACTAACAAAGCCCTCAAGAAATATGAGACTATGTGAAAAGACCAAATCTACATCTGATTGATGTACCTGAAAGTGACAGGGAGAGTGGAACCAAGTTGGAAAACACTCTTCAGGATATTTTCCAGGAGAACTTCCCCAGCCTAGGAAGGCACGCCAACATTCAAATTCAGGAAATACAGAGAACACCACAAAGATACTCCTCGAGAAGAGCAATCCCAAGACACATAATTTTCAGATTCACCAAAGTTGAAATGAAGGAAAAAATGTTAAGGGCAGCCAGAGAGAAAGGTCGGGTTACCCACAAAGGGAAGCCCATCAGACTAACAGCAGATCTTTCGGCAGAAACTCTACATGCCAGAAGAGTGGGGGCCAATATTCAACATTATTAAATAAAATAATTTTCAACTCAGAATTTCATATCCAGCCAAACTAAGCTTCATAAGTAAAGGAGAAATAAAATCCTTTACAGACAAACAAAGGCTGAGAGATTTTGTCACCACCAGGCCTGCCTTACAAGAGCTCCTGAAGGAAGCACTAAGCATGGAAAGGAACAAATGGTACCAACCACTGCAAAAACATGGCAAATTGAAAAGACCATCGATGCTAGGAAGAAAGTGTATCAACTCATGAGCAAAATAACCAGCTAACATTATGACAGGATCAAATTCACACATAACAATATTAACCTTAAATGTAAATGGGCTAAATGCTCCAATTAAAAGACACAGACTGGCAAATTGGATAAAGAGTCAAGATCCATCAGTGTGCTGTATTCAGGAAACCCATCTCACGTGCAGAGACACACATAGGCTCAAAATAAAGGGATGGAGGAAGATCTACCAAGCAAATGGAAAACAAAAAAATGCAGGGGTTGCAATCCTAGTCTCTGATAAAACAGACTTTAAACCAACAAAAATCAAAAGAGACAAAGAAGGCCATTACATAATGGTAAAGGGATCAATTCAACAAGAAGAGCTAACTATCCTAAAAATATATGCACCCAATACAGGAGCACCCAGATTCATAAAGCAAGTCCTTAGAGACCTACAAAGAGACTTAGACTCCCACACAATAATAATGGGAGACTTTAACGCCCCACTGTCAACATTAGACAGATCAATGAGACAGAAAGTTAACAAGGATATCCAGGAATTGAACTCAGCTCTGCACCAAGCGGAACTAATAGACATCTACAGAACTCTCCACCCCAAATCAACAGAATATACATTCTTCTCAGAACCACTTCGCACTTATTCCAAAAAAGGCTAAGTTTTTTGTTGTTGTTTTTATTCCTAGGAGAGTTCTAGGCCACCAGAAATACGTATGAGCCATGAAAGCAAACTCTAAAGAACTTTAAACCCCTGTGTAATATAGCTTTCTTTTATTTTCTGAATTTAATTATTTACACTTTCTTGCCAGTTTGGTCAGGTTTTAAAAATTATTTTTTCATATTTAAGCAGCATTATTAAGTATTCTGTACTCAGAAGTCTTTCTTTGCAGAGTTGTTCACCATATTCTCAGAAAAAGATACAATGAAACAAAAACACACTGATGATTTTTTCCGGTGTATTTTTTATTAAAAATGAAAACAGCATACTTGAGCTCCTTAGAGCCAGATGAAAATATTTATTCTAATAAATTAGGTAACTTTCCTCATTAAGTAGAAAAAATATGATAATTGGTACAACACTTTTACAAAATAAAATGCCAGTATCTTAGTTAATCCAACAAAATATAGTAAGCCCTTTTTATGTGCCAGACATTATTCTAAAGGATTTAGTATGAACAAATCAGTCAATGCTAACTGCCTTTATGGAGATTATATTCTAGCAGGAGGAGGCAAACAATACCAGATAAGTAAAATAGGCAGTATATCTTGATATCGTAAATGCTAGAAATCAAAGAAAGAGAAGTAGATAGGTCTGGAGGATGTGGCTATGCCTATGACAGAGTAGTCAGGGATGGCCTTACTGTTAGAGAGGCCTTTGGGCGAAGCATGAAAAGAGTGATGGATTGATGCCTATAATCTCCAAAGAAAAAAACCTTTCCAGGCAGAGAGAACAACACATACACAGTTCCTGAGTTTGACATGTTAGGTTGGAAATGCCTATTAAAAATTAAAAATCCAGGTGGAAACCTTAATTAAGCAGTTGAACATGAGCTGGAGTTTTGGAGAATAACCAGTCTGGAGATAAACTTGTGGAATCATCAGCCT
Organism: Homo sapiens; assembly: GCF_000001405.40. Classification (NCBI taxonomy): domain Eukaryota; kingdom Metazoa; phylum Chordata; class Mammalia; order Primates; family Hominidae; genus Homo; species Homo sapiens. The sequence continues at coordinate 149,674,809 of NC_000004.12, forward strand.
ATTAACGGTACTTAAAGCCATGATCTGGATAAAATTACAAGAGAGTGTTGTTTAGCTAGAGAAGAAATTAAAAACTTGATATCTGGGCCTACTGTAACCACCGGGAGCCTCAGGCTCCCAGTAGGAATTTTAAAAATTGTCAGCATATAGGTGGTCTGGTTAAACAGTAGTGCTCTTCAAAGTGAGATTTTGGAAGTATTACAAAGATTGTTGTAATTTGGAAGTATTTCTAGACCATAACTATTGGAGAATGTATGTATTATGATGGAGGGCAAAATCATGGGAGGAAAAGAGCTCAAGGAGTAGAAAAGTGAATGGATTAAAATATGATATCTATCCAAGATAAATATCACCAAAAACTATGAAAAGATTAGTGTTACAGAAATTGACAAGGATCCAGGGTCTACATTTCTTTAAAGATATGCAAGAATAGATACAAATCAATAGATTACTATAAGGAGAGGATATAGTTTGATGACATGAGATTCAAAGCTGAGCATGCTAGGGAAGACAAAGGGAGAATGGTTTGGAAACAGCAATGAGGAGCAAGGAGGAAACCACCCCACCACCAGTCTCAGAGGTATGAGACATGGGAGGAAAAAAAACCAGCACCACCTGAAAGGGTGGCAGGGGAAGAAATGTCTTCAGGGCACAGGTTTCAGTTAGGCCAGGAAGGGGAAGGAAACATTCAGATGAGGTTAAGGATTCTGAGTTTTTGCTGGCTATGAATTCAGGGAGCATAATGGATGAATTTCAGGAGTGGGAGGTTTGAGGGGTGACATCAGAAAAGAAGATATACAAAATTATATAGAGTGGGGTTTTAGTGATCGCAGGTACCCTGGAAGTCCTAGGTGTCTTGTGGAGACTGAGGTAGACACAGCTTAAATACATAATGAGATCCGTCTTAAGAGTCTGAAGGCTGTCAACTTGGCAAGTAGAGAGAAATAAAGAATCTTGCCAGGAGCTGACTTTAGGGGATCCCTCCTCTCTCCTGCCAATGACTATGTAGAGATGTTTTTAATATCTGAGAAGCAGCCATCCAGAAAGAGGAAATTTTCTAACTTTTTATCTCTTTGAGGGCCATTTCATTCTTTCCTTGAGGATTACAGATGATGAAACTAAGCCCAGAGCTTTGAAGAGGTTTGCGCCAGGCCACACAGAGAGTTGGTTATTATGTAGAGCATTATTAGCTTTTTTTCTTTTGAAAAAGTCTCTTAAAGTGTTTCTCTTAACAAAAGAGTTTCTGTTTCTGCCATGGGTCTGTTTCCTTACAAAAGCTTTACAATGATCAGTAAAATGAACACTTGAGGAATATCAATTTAAGAGTGACCTACCAAATGTATCAAAATAGAAGAGCAAAAGGCAGAGTCAAGGTCTCTAGCAGGATAACAGTGACAATAGCAAAAATAGCAGACTCCACGAAGGGCTACAGTTATTGTATTTACACAAGACCATAAACCTCACTTCCACTTCCTGAATTCACAATGTGATAGCGAAAGTCAGTCAATGTTGTGATGGGGTATGTCTTGTGATTACAGTAATATGTCCTTTAGGACAGGACCAAAGCTAAGTAATCAAACAACATGTTTTTTAGTATATTATGCATTAAAATTTATATGAATGTAGGAAGTTGCGACTAATTATGGTAGCTCAATTTTATTAAGCACCAGGAGGTACACTATGCACTTGACAAGCATTATCTAAACACTTTGAGGTTGGAATTGGTATTATCCCCCCTCTACCCAATGAAGAAATTGAGTCACAGTGCAATTAAGTAACTTGGATAAGATTTGACGCTAGAAACTGGCAAAGCCAGAATTCTAACCTAATTAGAGTAACTTCAGTGCTGTCACTATTAATCACTATACCATACTGCTTTAAAAGGCAAGGCTTCAAAAGGAAATAGATAGATAATTTTTTAAGCAAACGGATAGAAATCATAACTTGCCTTATATCTTATGTTCTAATATCCTTTTCTTTTTCCTTTAATAAGAATAATTCTTTATTCTAAAGAAGAATTGAGGACCTCCAGTTCCAAAATGGCAGCAGAGAAGCAAGCTAGCATAACCCCCTAGAAAACCATAAACAAATATACAGTGCCAAGATTATTACCAGAAATATACCAGAATTCAAACACAAAAATTATGAACACAAGTCAGTTCTTGGGGCCACAAAAAAGTGAAAAAACTTCATGTAGGCAGTAAGAAAATTGGCACATCCACAATGCCTCACTCCACATTCTTCCTGGCACCAAGTATGCAAAAAATACTCCCCAAAATCACTGTTTTGACACTGGAAAAGTGAGATCAAAGTGAACGAAGAGCTTATTCACCATCTTGGGTTCTCTGACAGGAGATCTGTCCCTCCCCTGGCCCATAAGAAGCATCATTAGTGCCTGAAAGGAGAAATATCCCTGAGGACAGGTAGAGACAAAGTAGGGATGCAGGACTACTATCTCCAGCTCTGGAAACTGCTCTACAACTTGGCCAAAGGCCAAATAAGAGTGGCTTTTAAGCAGCATCACACTCCAGGAGCATGGGCACAAACCTTTGCCAGCCTATCCCACTGCTGAGGTATCCCCATTGGGACTTCCTGCACTTGGGAAGAGTAGCACTCCAAACACTTGCTAGAGCTGAGACAAATCTGGGCTTAAGGTGCCATCTAGAACTGAAAAGGAGGCAGTTGCCTGACAGTAAAGAACCTATAAGCAAATATATCCAATAAAAAAATAAAAGAAGCAAGACAGAGAAGACAACAATAAATAAAATAATAATTAAATAAGACCAAATTAATCTTACAATGCAAAGACATAGATGTACATCCACAAGTAACAACCACAAACAGGGAACCATGATTTCCCCAAGCATACAAAGCAAAGATTTAGCAACTGACCCTAATGAAACAGCAATTGGTGAGCTCTTCGACCAAGAACCAAAAATAGTAGTTTTAAAGAAACTTGGTGATCTCCCAGATAACACAAGAAAACAATCCAGAAAACTTATTAGAGAAATTTAACAAAGAGATTGAAATAATTTTTTTAAATTAAACAGAAATCTAGAAACTGATAAATATATTTGCTGAACTGAAAAATTCATTAGAAGCTCTCAACAGAAAGGATCAAGAAGAGCAAAGAATTAGTGAGCTCAAATACAGACTATTTGAAAATACATGGAGAAGAAAAAGAAAAAAGAATGAAAAGCAAGAAAGATCACCTAAAAGATATAGAAAATTACCTCAAAAGACCAAATCTAAGAATTATTGGTGCTTAAGAGGGAGGTCAGCAAGAGCAAAGGGTAGAAAGCTTATTCAAGGAAATAACAGAAAACTTTCCAAAACTTGATTAAAGATAAATATCCAGGTAAGGGAAGGTCCGAGAACCCCAAACAGATTTGACTCAAATAAGACTACTCCATGGCATATGATAATCAGACCCTCAAAGGTCAAGGATAAAGAAAGAATCCTAAAAGCAACAAGAGAAAAAAAGCAAATAACATAAAAAAGCTCCATTTAATCTGGCAACAGACTTCTCAATGGAAATCATACATGCCAGGAGAAAATAGAATAACATTTTCAAAGTGCTGAAACAGAAAATCTATTGCCAGCTAAGAATACTGTATTCAACAAACTACAGTTCTAATATAAAAAACTGATAAATTCTTTCCCAGACAAGCAAAAGTGGAGGTAATTCACTACCACAATACCCATCTTACAATACATTCTAAAGGAAGTTCTTCAATCCAAAAGAAAGAGACACTAATGTGTTTTTAAAAAATGGAAGTTATAAAACCCACTGGTAAAATTAAGTACAAGGACAAACCCAGAATACTATAATAATATAATTGTTGTATGCAATCCACTAATAAATAAATCTAGTATGAAGTCCTAAAGACAAATCTAGCAACAACAATAATAGCTAGATTGACCTGTTAAGAGATTGACAATGTTTCAAAAAAAGACATACGAATGGCCAATAGGCATATGAAAAATGCTCAATGGAGACATGTGAATCAAAACTACAATGAAGTATGATATTACCCCAGTTAAAAATGGCTTCTATCAAAAAGACAGGCAATAAAAGATGCTGATGATATGAAGAAAGAGAAACCTTAAACACTGTTAGTGGGCATGGAAATTAGTACAGACATTATTCAGAACAGTATGAAGTTTCCTTACAATTGCTAAAACTAGAACTACCGTATGATCCAGAAATTCTGCTATTGGGTATATATCTTTTAAAAAGGAAATGAATGTATCAAAAAGACATCTGCATTCCCATGTTTATTGTAGCACTATTCACAACAGACAAAATATGGAATCAACATATGTGCCCATCAACAGATGAGTAAAGAAAATGTGACACATATTATGCACAATGAAATATGATTCTGCCATAAAAAAGAATGAAATCCTGTCATTTGTGACAACATGGAGGGAACTAGAGGTTGTTAAGTGAAGTAAGCCAAGCACAGAAAGATAAATATTGTGTGTTCTCGTTCATATGTGAAAGCAAAAAAAAAGTTAATCTCAAAGACAAAGAGTAGATTTGTGGTTATCAGAGGCCATGAAGGGCAGGGAGGAGAAAAGATGAAAATAAGATGTAAATATATGGGTTGCCAGAAGAAATAAGACCTAGTGTTAGATAGATCAGCAGGGTAACTACAGTTTACAATAATCTATTGCATGTTTCAAAATAGCTAGAAGAGAAGAATGGAAATGGTTCTGTCATAAAGAGAAGACAAATATTTATGGTGATGGACATCCCAAGAACTGATTTGATCTTTACAAATTACATGAATGTATTAAATAATCATGTGTATCACCAAACTATGTACATGTGTTATGCATGAATTGTAAAAAAAAAAGAATTGGGTGATAATTTGAGTCCAGTAGGTTACCATATACCCCAGGGAAAACTGCTATATCTACATTTTTTACTATTTATATATTATCTTGTTAAATAGACCTCAATGATTATGTCAGATATTCATTGAAGCTATAAATTATTATGTAGAGTTATAATAATGATGTGGAGAATAAGCTTTTTTGTGCAGACTTTTTAGACTATAGCCTTAACATGAACAAAAAAATTAACAACCATAAAAAGTATTCATTATTTTTCACGAAAGACACAAAGTGTGGACCACTCTTAAATTATTCCAAAAAAATGAACATTTTTCACATTTTACTAATAGCTTACACAAAATAAGTTGGTGGCCATAATCTTTCAGATATTTCTAGCCTTACTTTAAAAATATGTAATTATAAAAGAATGTTGTGGCTGAAAATAAAATAAAAACTTCCTAAATAACAAATCAGTGAAAATCCCTATTCTTATCTGATTAAAGATACATTTCATTTTAAAGGAAAAAAGAACACCTACTCTATAGCATTTGGAAAGAATGATTTTAATTGTAAAACTTTTTACTTTTTCAGCATATTCAACCTTCCAATTCTCCATGAAGTTATATGAGTATTGAGATACTTATAATATCATAAAACTAATAATCTCAACAATTTGTTTTTAAAGCATATAAACTAAACTGCATAACATTTTGTTTATTTTGATTGGTATCTCTGCAGTCTATGTATAATCAGTTTTTAAAAAGAACTGTAAAAAATAGTATCTAGTATTTTATTTTCTCAATTTCTTTTTTTCTTTAACAGTTATTGAGTTTTAGCCTAATGTGCAGAGACAGGTGCACAGATAATACTGAAGTATACTTCAATTGGGTGGTTTTTCCTTTTTAATTTACATTTGTTCATTCATTTAACATATGGTTATTAGCACCTACTATGTATGTGTCATGCACTGGAATAAGTATAAGGAGTCTTTTAGCTTCTATGAAGTTATGGTTCAATTAATAAACATTTCACAATTCAGCAGAACATTTCTGCATGGGTAGAACCTTTAGCAAATTTCAAAACTTATCACATGGGTGACTACCAATTCTGCCAGCCTTTTCCATTCACAATTTCATAATAATCTGTAGCTAATAACCAGGATTCTCTAAAATATTTTAGAAAAGTTTTCTACTCTTGTTTAGCATTAAATAAACTATGGTCTAGCTCCTGTATATAAGCTCCATAAATACAGAAAAATAAGACTTAAATGAATTTCAACATCCAAACTAAAGCTATGAGAATTGCCAAGTCCTTCAAAGAGCTAAAAAGTTCCTCTGCAAGATGATGACACAACTGACCCATGTGAGGTGAATGATACTTGAAGACTGAGGCGTTCATAAACCTTTTGATCATCCTGAATAAATTCTAAATGTCACAGAATTAGTAGAACTTTAACTGATGGTAAAGAGCTATAGAACACAGCTTTCAAGGAGATCAGATTTCAAGAGTATTATTTATTACACCCATTAGACCCTAGCCTTGTATAAATATTTGCCTACATTTACTTCCACACATGTATATTCAATTTTAGAATCAGTTGAGACCCATACATTATTGTATTGCCCTGGGACCTCAAATTATCTAATAAAGCCTTAAAAGAATTTAAGCTCTGAACCAATGTAACAATCAAAATTGTAAAATACATCTATTGCATATCTTCAACATTTTGACAGCATATTCACAAATTTTAGTTTTGGTGAATATTGATTGGAATCATGAAAACATGATTCATAGAATTTGTTTGGAAGTGAGCTTCCACTTAATGCTTCAGTTCCTTCTATAATAATCCAAACAAAAGGTGGTAAAATTATAAAGGATATTATATGCAAAAGTGCCTTGAGAACCCAAGGAAGAGTTTATTCAGCAAATTTTTAAAAATTTCTTCTGAAATCAATAAAAGTCCTACTTTACAAGAAGAGTTTTACCTTAATGACAGCCTGAAGCTCATGAGGAACAAGTTAAAAAGCGGGAAAACTAAAAAATAGTTGCTTTGAATCAATAGCCCCCTAGGTCTTTAAGCAGTTCAAGTTCCAGAGAGTTCCTCGATCACATTTAAGGGACTTTAAAGAATCATCTATATTCTCTTTTAAAGAATTGTATGTATTTTTTAAAAACAACAATAACTCAACTGTAAATAAACTTTTAAAATTACAAATTTTGTCTTTATAATTTACTACAACCTGCAATATTCATATTTTTAAAAATCCAGTCTCTCAATTTCAGATAAAGGCATGGAAAACTAGTTATTAGTAGTTGTTTCCAAAATCTGCTTATCTTTGATACAGTGTTTGAAATGAAAATAAAGGAAATAACTCTGTTCAATACTAGCTCTTTGTTTTTGCATTTAAATGAATGCAAAATAATGAAAATCAATGTGCTGCTACCAACATTTATGTATAAGACTCACCAGGTTCTTTCAGAAGTTCCAAGTTAGAGGTCCCAGGTTGTAAGTAAAGATGGACAGGAAAGGGATAGAGTAATTCCAACATTCTGTTTCTGAAACATTAAGTTGGATCTTTAAGTAATTTGATAGTCCCTATTTTGTAATACAAATCTTCAACACTAAAGTTATGGACTAAATGCTAATCATAGAAAACCACTTGTCTCTGGTCAACAGGACTACACCTGTTGTTCCCTCAGTGCCTTGCAGAGTAAATATTATTAAACAAAGACAAAATACTACGAAATTTTGCTGGTTCTGAGACGAATAACAAATAGGAACATTTGCTTTCCAAATGAGCCCAAACTAGCAAAAATCAGGAAAATGAACAAGCATCATATCTATCTATTTCTTCAGTGTTTTGCAAGAGATTTTTGAGTAGCATGTTTTCCTAACATGATTGAGAGAGCTTCAATCTCAACAGCTGAATAAAGTCAAGTATCACATAGAAACTTTGGAAAATGTGAGTAAGAAAAAAAGAAAGAAAATAAAAATCTCCCCTAATCTTATTACCCTGATATTTTAGTAATAATTGCAAACCCTTCAATGCTTCCTATAGGCCAGCATTTAGGGCACTATTCTAATCCTTTTTATATGTTTTACCTGATTTATTCTTCAAAACAAGCATGTAGGTACTTACTATTATGATGCTCATTGTATAAATGAAGAAACTAAGACATTTAGGGGTTCAGCAGTATACAGTTCAGATTATTCCAGCTAGAAATGGGTGGGGTCAGGACTCAAATTCAGTCAGTGGGACTTCAGGAACCATATTACTATTTTATACTGATTCCATTCGACATGATTAGCATATGGAATATATTTCATTCCTTTTCTCTGTTTAAGTGTACATAAATGCACGCAAAATTTTATACTATTATTTTGCACTAATATATCACAGAGATCTTTCTTTATAAATGTACAAAGGTGCACATTGTTATTTTGACCCATTACATAGATTTCCATGTTATTTTGGCCCATTACATAGAAATTCATTGTATAGATTTTAACATACTGATCGCTTATTTACCAGTGTTCTTCTGTGGGATATATTTGTTGGTTTTGCTTTTTTGTTGTTTATAAACAAGGATGAAAATCTTTGAACATTTATATTTGTGCACCTGTATTTCCTTGTGTTACTATAAATGCCTAGAAATTAAAATGTTGGTTTGAAAATTATATAAATCTTACATAAATTTCTAGAATTTTAAAACATTTGCCTAGAAAGCAGCATGGTCTATGAAAGAGGGGACTCTTCAGAGATTCACATTTGGCACATAGTAGGCACTCAATAGATAGTAAAGAAATAACTAATGATACGATCTATTAATTTGACTGTCACTCATGTGGTCATGCCCACAGAGTTGGCCAAAGGACTGAGGTATCCCTTAAGTTGTATCAAGAGAAAATAGAGAGACGTGAGTATGCAGTCAGTTTTATAAAATTCCATTTGAAATTCTATAACGTTTTTATATATCACCAAGAATGGGGTCAAATTTCATTGATCAGGCATAATTTCCTTTGCTTTCTAATATCTAGTCAATGGATAAGTGTTATTTAATCTCCAAGTTAGAACTAATTATGTATTTTCAATTGTTCCTGACTAATGAAAGATTCTAATGGAAGTAGACCATTCAACCACTGAAGCAAAATATTTTACAGACATTAAGATGAAATGGCAGTTGCTTCACACAAATGTGAAATGCCAGGAGGGATTCTATCATTATTTTATAATATCCTCATTCTGTTATGAAATTGATCAGAACAACCTAAACATGAATTGTCATGTAACACAGGAAACTCACTGATCACAAAACTGGGCAAAGAAATCCAGGCTCACTTGCCTAAATTACAGAATGCATTTACTGAAATGCAGTTGTCATAACTTCAAATGCACCAAATAATATCAACTAAAAATTAGCACTAGTAAATAAGTGATTAATAAATGCATTTTGTTGATGGGAAATTAAAATTTAGGATGAACCCATATCTATCATCATCATAAAGAGTATTTTAATGTAGGGAAATCTTTGAATTTAGAATTCAAAGGTACACTGAAGAACTTTACCTTCTTAAACTTATATTGAAATTGTAACAGTATTCAATTGTGTTTTCCCACCACAGGTCAAAAATAGACAAGTTTAGAAAAGGGAAGAAATCATATATTTAAAAGATTTGATCATATTCATGTTTTGCTCAAGGAAATTTCTTTTGTTGGGCCAATATTTCAATAGTCATCCCAAAAGTATTAGAGTCATCTTAACAATCAGCATTTTTCAAGGCATCTTCAGGATAATTATAAGTTGTTTATATACAACTTTTCTCACAGGGGTCTAATTAACTTGAACAAAAACCTTTTGGGAGTTTCATAAAGAGTTGGGTCATTCATACTAATTAGTCCTAGAGCCTGTCCCTGCATTGTTAACAATCTCATATCTAATTTCCCAACTGATTATATTATCTTTTCTTCTGCTTATATTCTCATTGCTGTTTCCTTATCTTCATTATGTGGTGAACTCGATTTCAAAAAAAATTTTTGCCTAATGACATTCTATTTGTCTAGTTAAGCACAGGTTTCCAAAAATCCTTAGTCACCACGTCCCAAAGCACTTATTTGTCTTTCCCCCTGCATTCCCATCACACTTTTAACATTAATGAAATGAAGCTAACTGTTAAAGTAGGAAACAAGTTACCACCATCAACTAGCTATAAATAAAGACAAGGCAGCCCAGGTGTATTGAAGCTCAGGCTTTACATGCCCTGAGCTGTCACTGGAAGTACATGCACTTGCTCTTAATTTCAAAGGATGTTGATCTTCCTCATTAAGCAGGATATGTTTTCATTAAAAACAGGAAGTTAGGGTGTCAAGGGACCTTTATCTTCTACCAGTTGCAGAAGAAACAATTCTTCGGAAAATAGTCAACTCTCTTAAGAAAGACATTATACTGAAAGATATTATACCTGATCAGATTTATTAATAAGTGCTTCACTTGTCCCTAAAACATTATTATTCTGCCATGGCTTACCAGCCTCATCTAAAGATACTGAAAATGATTTTCAAATCAGTTAACCTTTTCAGTTAGTAAAAGCTGACTTGAAATTCTAAACAATTTGGCTAAATTGCTATATTAACTACTCTTTTAGGAGCTACCAATTTGCTAGACCAATTTGGATCTTGAGTTAAAATGGGTAACTCAAAGGCAGAGAAGAAATTTATAAAAACTAGTAAATTTCCAATATAATAATTTCTTTTCCTTTGTAATTAATATCTTCCCTTATCATGGGTATAACCAAACCTTTAGTATTAAGGCTGTGTATATATTTCACTCTTTCAAATCTGAGTATTGTATGACACTTAAGCCAAGAAAGTGGTTACCCTGAGCATGGATCTTCTAGTGTTAAGCACATAGCTCACAACTTAAACGTTGGAAGACCCATAAAGTTCTTCATAGCCTTGCCAGCATTTCCTCAACTAACTTGTAGCTGTGCCAATTACCCCAAATTTCTGACCATGTTATAATATCAATGAATTATTGTAAAACAAGCTACTGAAAAATATATTTTAGCAGAGAAGTATTTACTGTCTGTAAGTATAAATGTTCTTACCAAATATGTGCTGAAGGGCTTAGAGGTTCTATCTATAGCTTCAGCACCAACTATTGTGTATGTAATTTTAAAGTTGTCTTGAAGATGGTGATGCTATTTCATGCAATAATTCAGAAAAGGAACTGACCCATCTCCAGACACTTTTGGAAAGCAGAGGCAATGCTCAGAATTCCTGTGTTCAAACTATGTTCTGTAGAACCAGTGTCACCTTCTGTTAGAAAGACTAACCTTTAATTATTAGATTTAGAAAGGAAAATTATAACTTACTCTGCTCCATAATTGCTGCAGATGAGTTATTAAAATTCTAAACTTATGTAATATTATCATAAAATATGGCATTTTTTTCCCCAGGAAAGCCACAAATTGGATTCAAGCTTATGCACTGTAAAACCCAGATGGTTTACTTAACTACTCAGACATCCTCCAGTTCAAAAGTTAATTGAACTGAAAACAAAAATTTTGATAATTGATATGCTTTGAGGAACTCAAGCGGAACAATAAATTAGCTTCATGTATGGGGTGTTAATAGAAAAACTTGAGAGACCATGACAATTGGTCAGGGAATATTGGCAAAGTAGAAGAAAATATATATTTTCTATAGGTTAGCTAATTATACATTACCTGGACTCCTCAAAGTGCTGTTGCTTTGCTGTCTCCATTTTTTTACTCACTGGTTCAATAATAGTCATGATTTTATCCAATTTAACTTGTCCTGAAATTTTGTTAAAGTTTTAATTGCATACTATTAGTTTTCAAGTTGTAAGTGCATTTTTCAAATTCAATTGCAAATCACAGATTTTTAATAACAAGAGCTATAATCTTTTAAAATGTTACTAACACAGAGATACTAAAAATCACAGCTGAGTAGTTTTCTTCACTCCATGCTACTCAGATGCTTTGCAATTACTAAACTTTAGGACTGAAAATTATAGTGCAAATGAACTACATATATCAGAAAGGAGATTGCTCTCAGAGAAATGGCTGCAACAGCATAGCATATACCGATGAATACAAACAGCCTCATTTATACATATCAGTATTATTATAATCATTATCATCACAAAGCTTAGTTCTTACAGAAGGGGCTGCTATTTTAAAATAATTTGGCAAATCTCTAGTTCCTATAAATAGGAACACAAAGTGCTCCAGAAATCTCATTATTTGATAGAGTAAGACTAAAGTTCACAAAAGGCAAAGGTTCTACTTTTTAAAAAATCTACTTCTTCAAGTCTAAAGAGAAATTTACATAAGTATTTTTAAAATACTCATTACTTTCTATTGTCCACAGATAATGGGACCAATATATAGTTTGAAATATTATAACAAAAATATTATCAGGTAACTATTGAGCACCTTCTAGCTACTAGCTCAGATATATTATTAATAAAAGATACAGAACACATGAGACGAAACCCTCTGCTTTAGAAAATTACAGGCTAGATGGATCTCAATGTCATCAAAAAGAAGAGCGTATTAGACTGAATTATGTAACGTATATTCAAAATGTACGTTCAGAGAACATAACATTTTTGTAGAAATGGAAAACAGAATATCAATATTGATTAACTACAGTCGGCCTTCGGTGTCCTTGGGTTCTGCATCTGCAGATTCAACCAACCACAGATTGACAATATTCAGAAAAAAAAAATTTAAAAATACAATACAATAAAAATAATATAAATTTAAAAACAATATAGTAGGAAAGCTATTTGCATAGAGTTTGCATAGCATTTTGTATTATAAGTAATCTAGAGATGATTTAAAGTACAGGAGAAGAAATTGATGCCAATCATTCTGACACTACTCCACAAAATAGAGAAAGAGTGAACCCTAATTCATTCTATGAAGCCAGCATCACCCTACTAACAAAACCAGGAAAGGACATAACTAAAAAGAAAACTACAGACCAATATCCCTGATGAACATAGATGCTAACATCCTTAACAAAATACTAGCTAACTGAGTCCAACAACATATCTAAAAGATAAGCCACCATGATCAAGTGGGTTTCATACCAGGGATGCAGGGATGGTTTAACATATGCAAGTCAATAAATGTGATACACCACATACACAGAATTAAAAACAAAAATCACATGATCATCTCAATAGATGCAGAAAAAGCATTTGACAAAATCCAGCACCGCTTTATGATTAAAACTCCCAGCAAAATCAGCATACAAGGGACATACCTCAATGTAATAAAAGCCATCTATGACAAACCCACAGCCGACATAATACTGAATAGGGAAAAGTTGAAAGCATTCCTTCTGAGAACTGAAACAAGACAAGAATGCCCACTCTTACCATTCCTCTTCAATGTAATACTGGAAGTCCTAGCCAGAGCAATCAGACAAGAGAAAGAAATAAAGGGCATCCAAATCTCTAAAGAGGAAGTCAAACTGTCACTGTTTGCTGAAGATATGATCATTTACCTTGAAAACTCTAAAGACTCCTCCAGAAAGTTCCTAGAACTGATAAAAAAATTTCAGCAAAGTTTCCAGATACAAGATTAATGTACACAAATCAGTAGCTCTTCCATACACCAACAGTGCCCAAGCAGAAAATCAAATCAAAAACTCAACCCCTTTTACAATAGCTGCAAACAAAAAATAAAATACTTAAGAATATACCTAACCAAGGAGGCAAAAGACCTCTACAAGGAAAACTAAAAAACACTGCTGAAAGAAATCATACATGACACAAAAAATGGAAACACATGCCATGCTCATGGATGGGTAGAATCAATATTGTGAAAATGACCATACTGCCAAAAGCAATCTACAAATTCAACACAATCCCCATCAAAATACCACCATCATTCTTCACAGAATTTTTTAAAAAACAATTCTAAAATTTATATGGAACCAAAAAGAGCCTGCATAACCGAAGCAAGACTAAGCAAAAAGAACAAATCTGGAGGCATCAGACTACCTGATTTCAAACTATACTATAAGGCCATAGTCACCAAAACGGCATGGTACTGGTATAAAAATAGGCATATAAACCAATGGAACAGAAGAGAGAACCCAGAAATAAACCCTAATATTTACAGCCATCTGATCTTCAACAAAGCAAACAAAAACAAAGTGGGGAAAGGACACCCTTTTCAACAAATGGTGCTGGGATAATTGGCTAGCCACATTTAGGAGAAAAAAACTGGATCCTCATCTTTCACCTTATACAAAAATCAACTCAAGGTGGATTAAGGGCTTAAATCTAAGACCTGAAACTATAAAAATTCTAGAAGATAACAGTGGAAAAATCCTTCTAGACATTGGCTTAGGCAAGGATTTCATAACCAAGAACCCAAAAGCAAATGCAATAAAAACAAAGATAAGGACACATGCACACCTATGTTTATTATGGCACTGTTCACAATAGCAAAGACTTGGAACCAACCCAAATGCCCATCAGTGATAGACTGGATAAAGAATGTGTGGTACATATACACCATGGAATACTATGCAGCCAGAAAAAGGAATAAGTCCATGTCCTTTGTAGGGACATGGATGAAGCTGGAAATCATCATCTGCACCAAATTAACACAGGAACAGAAAACCAAACACTGCATGTTCTCACTCATAAGTGGGAGTTGAACAATAAGAACACATGGACACAGAGAGGGGAACATCACACTATGGGGCCTGTGGGGGATGGGAGAACATTAGGAGAAATACTTAATGTAGATGACGGGTTGACAGGTGCAGCAAACCACCATGGCACATGTATACCTATGTAACAAACCTGCACATTCTGCACATGTACCCCAGAACTTAAAGTATAATAATAAAAAATAAAAATTTTAAAAAGATAAATATTTGGGACTTAATTAACTAAAGAACTTTTGCACAGCAAAAGGAACAGTCAGCAGAGTAAACAGACAACCCACAGAGTGGGAGAAAATCTTCACAATCTATGCATCTGACAAAGGACTAATATCCAGAATCTGCAACAAACTCAAACAAATCAATAAGAAAAAAATACAAAATCCCATCAAAAAGTGGGCTAAGGACCTGAATAGACAATTCTCAAAAGAAGATATACAAATGCCCAACAAACATATGAAAAAATGCTCAACATCACTAATGATCAGGGAAATGCAAATCAAAACCACAATGTGAAAGAACAGCCATAATCAAAAAATTAAAAACAGCAGATGTTGGCATGGATGCAGTGATCAGGGAACACTTCTACACTGCTGGTGGGAATGTAAACTAATACAGCCAGTATGGAAAACAGTGTGGGGATTCCTTAAAGAACTAAAAGTAGAACTACCATTTGATCCAGTAATCTCACTACTGGGTATCTACCCAAAGGAAAAGAAGTCATCATACGAAAAAGATACTTGCACATGCATGTTTATAGCAGCACAATTCACAATTGCAAAGACATAGAACCAACTCAAATGCCCATCAATCAATGAGCGGATAAAGAAACTGGTGTATGCATGTATATACACACACACAATGGAATATTACTCAGCCATAAAAAGAAATGAATTAATGGCATTTGCAGCAACCTGGATGAGATTGGAGACTATTATTCTAAGTGAAGTAACTCAGGAATGGAAAACCAAACATCATATGTTCTCACTGAAATGTGAGAGCTAAGACATGTGGATGCAAAGGCATAAGAATGATACAATGGACTTTGGGGACTTGGGGGGAAAGGTGGGAGGGGGATGAGGGATAAAAGACTACAAATAGGGTGCAGCATGTACTGCTTGGGTGATGGGTGCACCAAAATCTCACAAATTACCACTAAAGAACTTAACTTGTAGCCAAATACCACCAATACCCCAATAACATATAGAAAAAGTAAATACATTTTAAGAAATAAAACATATGGGAAAATGTGCATAGATTATGTGCAAATACATACTACACATTTTATCAGGAACTTGGGCATTCTCGGATCTTGGAATGATGGAGGTAGGGTAAGTCCTGGAACCAGTTCCCCAAGGATACCGAGCAAAGGCTGTATTTATAAGGTATTGGTTAGCATTCCTTGTGAATTATCTCATGTAAGCTTCAACAGTTTTGTTCTGTTTTTGTTTTTGTAAAGTACTGTGATTAGTCTGTTTACTCGGAGAAGCAACTTTCCCAAGATCCTTTAACCTGGAAGGTACAGAGCCAGGACTCCATTATTTTTTACTGTGCTCTACACTGCCCCCTGGAACTTCAGGGGATTCATCAGTAAAAGTGGGTAATTTCTGCCTTGTTTACTTCAGAAGGTAACTATAAAGCTCAGAGGACACACTTTATATAAAGACACGTGGTATGTTAAGTGATATCATATTAAGGTAAAGGAGAATTTTTAAGTTTGAGTCTTAAAAATAGAAACATTAAAATATTTGCCATATGCCAAATGTGCTAATTGCTATATATGGATTATCATGTTTTATTCTTAGAGACATCCCATAGATTAAGTACTATTACTATCTCCATTTTACAGATGAGGAAATGAAAGCAGAGGTGTGATTATTTTCCCCAAGATTAGACCATTAGCAATAGGTAGAGATGATATTCAAACCCAGGCAGATAGCCCCTGGAACCTGAATTCTTAATCACTCTGCTGCTCAATATTCCTGTTTGTTTACTGTACTTATTTATAGAGTATCTACTTAGTAAAAATTGCTATGCTAACTCCTGGGAGGGGAGCAGTGTAGAGTATAATGGTTAATAAAGCACTATTGCTACCTTCAATGGACAGCATAACAGTGAAAATCACTGCAGAAAAGTGAAGGAGGAAAAGGATGGGGCAAAGGTGATGGGAGGGGCAATCTGGAGATATAAAGAGTGAAATTTTACAGCAATGGTAAAGAAGTTAACCTTGCAATGAAAGAAAGACAATCACAGAAGCTAAAGAAAGCATTAGGATTTAGTGAAATTTTTGTTGTTGTTTTATTTTTCAAGGCAGGAGGTTTTCAAGTCAGATAGGAAAGGAGCCAATATAGATCAAGAGATTACAGATACTCACATCTGAATACACTTGGAATTGAATACATGAGCAGGGAACAGGTTCACTACATACCTAGGAAGGATATGATGAAGTTCACAAGTGAAGGTATTATTTAAGGATAATATTATTTTGAAAGCAACATTATGAAACTAAATTTTCACTAATGAGGAATTCACGTTTGTAAAAATACACATCTATGCTTAAAACATACAACATATATGTGTATCTTGGTTTATTTATTTGCAAATGCACAGGAAAGATATGGAAGAATGTACACTACAGCAGAGACAATTAGTACTCACCAAATTATCCATGTGCTCCCCTATATTTTCCATACCCCTTTAAAATTACTTTGAGGACATGTAATTAGACTCTAACCAATGAGATGTGAGTACATGAGGTGTGAGCCACTACCAGACATGGGCTGAAGTCCACTCTTCCCCTGCCACAGTGCCCCAGGGAGCCTGTGCACCAAATGGTGGAGCTATAAGGTAAACTGTCTATCACACTGTGATTGATGTAGGGGGAAAATAAGTCTTTATGAAACATGAAGTGACAGAGAATCTAGGGTTCATTTGTTACTCAACAGAGCGCAACCTTTCTTGTCTAATATTACACCAAACTAAGACCATCAACAGTATCTATCTTTGGAAGGAAGTGGAAAATGTAGTATTGTTAGGACTTTCCCTTTCAATCCTATATATGTATGTATTTTTTAAATCTTTATAATGAGCTTGTGTTAATACAATAATTAAGAAAAAGATATGTCTATTTTAGAGAAAAAAAACTGTTAAATACTTTGGGTATAATCCTTTTAAGTGCTAAACTAAAAGCCCTCTATAGACCATTGAGCTAAGTCATATTAGGACTGCATCCAACATACAAAATAAATGCAGATATACTTTTTAAAAAGTAGTATATAGAGTTAAAGGAGATCTCTAAAAAGGCAATTAAAACATATGAAAATCTAACATTGCTGCAGATAAACCTTTAGATGGCAACTGAGACTTAGTGTGTGACTTTAGGCCAATTATAACATCTCTGAATTTCTAACTATTGCTTATGTAAAATCTAGTAGCTAAACCAATTCCACCAAACTAGAATTTCAGTTCTGAAATATAAATTATAAATAACCTCTGATTAGAATACTCATTCAAAGAGAGACCAAAAGGGAGACCAGGGCAAAAAAACAGAGGTAAAGTGATGAATTCTTAGAGGTTTTACAATGAAGTTAAGCAAAAGGAATGTAAGGCATTAAAACTGCCAACTTAGGTATGAGCTGACAGGCAAAAAAGAAAAACAACAACAAAAACTCCCAACCAAAAGACTCTAGTCTCTAGCACTACTTACTATGTGCTCCTCAGAGTCCAGCTGGAATTATTCATTCACCTGAGCTCAATCATTTGTTCATCTGAAATCAATCATCCATTCAATTTCATTCACTTCTGACAATTTTGCCTTTCTCCTTCATGGGCTCATTTTGCTTTGACCACCTCCAGCTATTGTGTGTTCCCCAAAGCTATTTCTTTCCTTGGCTACCTTCTAACCCTTTACTTGAATGATATGGTCCATGACCTTGGCTATATTTAGCACTTCAATGTGCACAAATCCATATATCTTGCTTAGACCACTCTTGAGATCCAAATTTGAATAGCCGACTATCTCTGTCTCAATCAACATGTCCCTCTCACACATAACGACACTACTGTCCATCCATAAGCCCGAAAGTCATCTCCACTATTCACTCTCCCTCAATCCCCTAATAGAGTCATTAAATCCCTTCCATCCTTTCCCACTCATACTCTCTCAATTCAGACCTTTATCATCTTTCATCTGGTACATTAGCAGCTTCTCCACTTGGATTCCTGAATCCAACCATGAAACTCTAACCCATCCTCCATACTTTCCATAAATAATCTTTCATTTCCAAATTATGGAATTTTAAATTATCATTGTGTTATTGTTTTCTAATTTAACATCACAGTAGTCAGAGAACAGGTTTTGTATAATTCTAATTGTTTGAAATTTGTTGACTCCTATTTTATATACCATTGTGTAGTCAGTTTTCATAATGCTCCATATTTGTCTGAAAATAGTGTATATTATTTAATTCTTAGGAGCAATGTCTTATATCCACCTGATAAATCAACTTGTTAATTTAATTGTTCCCCATTTTGCTAGTCATTTCAAGACTCAGCACAAGGGATATTCTCTAATCTATCTTAACATTGAAACAATTTGCAGCACTCATTGTTTGGTTGGCCCACCATCCCTTTACTAATCTGTAAACTCTCTGATCATGTGGACTGGGACTTATTTCCCTTGAATCCTCAGCACTTCCTTATAATACCCAGCACATTCAACAAACATTTGTTATAAGAATCAATCAATAAATAATTTGTTATAAGAATCAATAAATAAGACATTTAATACCTCTTATTCAGTTACATAGATTTTTCAGTATCACTTTTACGTTTGCCAGTGCCATGGATTAATTTCTTTTTTTTTTTTTTTTTTTTTTTTGAGACGGAGTCTCGCTCTGTCGCCCAGGCTGGAGTGCAGTGGCGGGATCTCGGCTCACTGCAAGCTCCGCCTCCCGGGTTCACGCCATTCTCCTGCCTCAGCCTCCCAAGTAGCTGGGACTACAGGCGCCCGCCACTACGCCCGGCTAATTTTTTGTATTTTTAGTAGAGACGGGGTATTAATTTCTTTCCATTACTTTCTCGGATACTTTCTCAGATACCGTAGATAATATATACATACTTCCACTAATTCCCACTGTTCTCCTGACCTTCATAAAGAATCCCTATTTCTCCCCCTCCTTCCACACACACACACACAAAAAACAGCATCTCTATTTCAGATTGTAAAAATCGTCTATGTTAAATAGTTAAACTGAACCAATGTATTACTGGAAACTAGTTTTCTATAATTTAAAGCTCAAGCAAACTGGAAATTCAGTGTCAGAAAAGGGAGTGTGTTCCTCATCACAGATATCTGTTAGCAGAAAATTTCAGAAGAACACTGTAGAGGGGATTTTATGTTGTGAAAATAGTTGGGCTTGAAGAGCTTTAAGGTCTCTTCTACACAAAACTTACTACTGTGAAAGTGCTTCAGGCTGGTAAAATCGTTTTCATTCGAACAATGAGAGATTTTATATTTTGTACACTGAATAATCATAAAATGGTTTTCTCACCTTTCTCTCTTTTTAAGACCCACTATTTAAATTTTATTTAATTTCATATGAATTATAATGAAACTTAAAAATTTTAAAGTTTCAAATTTATAGACAGATTCATTAGTCAAGAATGACAGATTGCAATTTACTGACATTTCACATTCTAGTGTGTGGGCTGGGTAGATGTCATATAATTTTCTACTGTTGGAATTTCAAGCACATGTGTGTTATATAGAATGCCAATTCCTCACTAGACTGTGAACTCTGACGGTTTCTTGAGGACAGACATTGTGTTTTTATGCATCCATCCATTTATTCAATCATTCATTCAACAAATATTTACTGAATACCTACAATGTGACAGGCAGTCTGCTAGGCACTAGAAATGCAAAAAAGAACCCAGAGATTATGAAGTTAACATTCTTAGGAATGAAATTAACTACAAATAATTACATAATTCCAAATACAGCGCTATGAAACTTTATTTTCATTATCTCATGAATTTAAAACGAGGAATGAAATGTACCCTTCAGCTTTTGTAATTGGGAGGTCATTGGACAATTTAATGGAAGTAGAAGCAAGATTTCTTTGGGTTGAAGGAATAATGTTATTGAGGTAATAAATGCAGACTCCCTTTTCAAGAGTTATGTGGTTTGAAGAAACAGACAGCAATGAAATGATCACCACAGAAACACAAGTTTGAGAAAGTAAATTATAGTGTCAATATATTTTTAATATGAGAGAAACTTTAGTATGCTTATAGGTTATAGGAAAGGAGAGATGGAGACATAAGAGAGGGCAAATAATACATAATAGATGAGATAGGTTCCTGGCAGAAAACAGAAAGAATGGGATAGAATTCATACCTGAAGAGGCATCTTCTAAAACCATAGACAAGATTTTGGGTGGCTATTAATAAGTTTCCAGTGAGTTCGCCATGAAGACCTTTATTTTCTCTATGAAGTAGGAGGTAAGGTCATTTACTGAGGGAAGCGGGCTGAGATTTGTTAATGGTTGTGAAGGTTTGGGCTAAATAGTAAGTGAGATGGGTAAAAGAATTGCAAAAAGTCAAATGAAAGATTTTTAACTTAGATTACTACTTAATGCAGTCATAATCATAGCTAGCACTTGAAACGCAAACTTTCTCTTCCTATTGTTCAGTTTCTCCACACTTCATAACAAAATGTTTAGACTGGTTGTCTGCATATATTGTTTGCTCTTTCTCACCCCATTTTTTCGTCGCTACACTCCCAATCTACCTTGTACAGTGGTTGCTCTGTGGAAACTGCTCTCATCAAAGATACAATGACTTCCATGGTAGCACACCCAATGAACAAGTATTTGTCAGCTTTTTGCTGAACCTTTACTGCAGCATTCAATGATAATGATTTTCTTTTATGAAAAGATTCCAAAAATTTCTCCTAGATTTCCTCCTATGATGCTGCTTCTCCTTGTCAATTGTCAATCTCTTTTGCTGACTCTCCCTCTTCTATCAGACCTCCAATGAATGAAGTGTCTTCAGCCTGTGTCTTAAGCCAGCCTTTTTGTTTATGTTAACTTCACTTATTCCTTAGGAAATTTCATCCAGTTCCATCCATGGCTTTAAATACTGTTCATACACCAAAGACACCAAAACTTTATTCTCCAGCCCACATCTCTCCTCAAAATTTCAGACTTATGTATGCATTAATTCGTATCTCAAATATAATCTATTTAATGGAACTCTTCCATTAAAGAGACATTTTAATGCAGTTAATAAGTTTAGATGTCTCTTGCTTATGGTCCTTTGAGTTAGCCAGAGCAGTTCTGCTTCAGGCTATGAGTCAGCTGGCTTAGACGCATCAGGCTAGATAGGTGCCACTACCTGGGGCATGGTCTTTTCTTGGTAGATCAAAAAAGTGTAAGAGACAAGATAAACTACTATGTACATTTAAAGTCATTGTCTGCATCATGGCTTCTCATCTTCCATTAGCCAAAACAAGATAGGGTCAATCTCAAATTTAGTGAAGCAAGAAAATATACTCCAAACCAAGGTGGAGGAGGAAAGGAAAGGTGGAACAATAACCCAATCTAAGCCATCATTATCTCTTTCCTAGATTGAAAAATCACTTTCTCTGGTCCATCCTAGAGAATAGAGGCCTGCATATCTTTTAAAAATAGAAATCTGATCATAACATTCGTCTTTAAATCATTCAATGACTTTCTACCACTCTTAAATAAATCAATTCTTTGCCATTACCTACAGGGCCATACATTATCTAACTTATGCCTATCTCTCTCTCAGCTGATTTCACATCACTATCATTTTATCTGCTATTACACTGCAGCCACAATGTTTCCCTTCAGGACCTTGAATAAGTCAAGGTCTGTTCCTCCTCAGGGCTGATTTGTACCCGTATTCAAGAGTTGATTGTTGTGCTGCACCCATTAATGGCACATGTATACATATGTAACAAACCTGCATGTTGTGCACTTGTACCCTAGAACTTAAAGCATAATAAAAAAATAAAGTCATTTCAGAGTTAAAAAAAAAGAGTTGATTGTTAATTATAAGGAATTTTGCAATCCAGATTAAATGTCTGGTAGCCTGAAATCAGCCAGGGTGAGAATATTTATACCCTGGGAGTCAGGACGTGCCATAAATCAGGCTTTTTTGCCCCCTGCAGAACAAATTTACCAGCACACCATTGGTCCTTCTTGTCCTTCAGATCTCAAATCAAATATATAAGTTCCTAAGACAGGCATTCATGGCATTTGCATCTAAAATTTGTCCCTATGGTTAGTCTATTAAATCATTCTATTGCCTTCATTGTGATTATCACTTTTTGTCATTATCTTATTTGTTTGCTCCTTAATTGCATTTTGCCTATCTACTGCCAGCAGAATGTAAGCTTCACTTATTCACAACTATATCATCAATGTCAAGAAGAATGCCTGGCATATAATAGATGTTCAATAAATACTTATTGCATAAATGAATTTCCCCTGGTATGTTATGAGTTCTTTAAGAATGGAAACATTCTTATTCTCTTTCTAACTCACATATAGCATTATAAATCAGAAGCCCAATAAATATTAATTGGATAAATGAAATAATTTATTAGTGTGTTTACTAGGTACAGATATAATGAATTTCAGATTTGATGTAAGGAAGGGGAATAAAGACATCTGTGCTAGACGGGTTGTCTGAATACTTTGTACTTCATTATATAGATTTTTTTCCTACTCTACCTTCATGTAAATAATTATCATCCTCAATTCAATAAGATCATTTAACTAATAAGTTGTTATTGACTATTCTTTTTAGCCATGTGTTAGGGACCATGGAGGTTATAGGGGGAAAAAAAGGAAACATCATTTCCACTTAGCAAAGTTTACATTTCATAATCCCGTAATAGCAAATTTTATATTTCATAATCCCATAATCCCATAATATTGTTCATAATGTTGATTGAACAAATATCTCAGTGACTGGCCTAGCATATATTAGGCACCCAATAAATGTTTGCTGAATAAATGAATGAAACTCAGCCAAGAACTGAGGGCAGAGCTGAATTAAATGCTTAAGAATATAAAGTTCTCTACGATGTTAGCAGAAGAGTTGAAAGTTAATCCATGTTTTGTCAGTGCAATTTAACTTCACCACGAAACTTCAATGTGTGTAGCAATAGTGCAAAATGTACTACAAAAACGTAACTATTTTCAGAAATCTAAAAACATGATAGTAATGAAAAGTAAGATGAAGTTTGCACAACTCTAATAAAGACAATGTAATGAAAACCAATTCAATGTCTTTATGCTAACCTTATATATTTCAGGAATTTAAATATTATCCTCCAGGTAAATATATTGCATTAATTATGAGAGATAATTCAGAAAAGTGGTTAAGAGAGCAGACAGACTTAAGTAAGTATAAATATGAACTTTACAATTTATCACCGGTATGACCCTCAACAAGTTGTATCACATCTGAGCTCAGCTTCGTCTTTTGTAAAAAAGTATATAAGGATAAAAGATTGCCATAAGGATTGTGTAAATGATACATGCAAAGTCTTTAGCACAAGGCCTGGTACATAGTAAGTACTCAATAAAATTAGTGATGTTGATGATTATAAAGATATGAATTTTAATAACATGATATTATGGTCTGTACAACAGATAAGGCAGACACATAACGTCATACAGTATAAGACTATGAGTGCCATAAGATAAAATGATATGAAAATATTATCTCAAATATGTAAACTTTTAGTAATAGCACAACATATTGAAAACAAAATGCAAAGTTATATTGTGCTTTATATTTCCATGACCAAAACTTCTCTATCAACAATTTTCTCCCATGTCAGTTATAAGATACAAAAGTGCTCATCAAGTCTTTGCCAAATTAGATAGTATACACTCTTCCCCAAAAAAGGAAATAATACCAATTATCTACTAGTGAGAAAAGTGAATTTTTACCAAGTAAATACCATGGTCAGAAGCTTAGCAAAATTGCCCAGAAGAAATGTGTTTAGATTGATCTTCCCCGGGTTACCCTCTCCAACAATAACAGATATGGCTACAGTCCAATACCTTTATCAAATCTGAGCCTTTGCTCAGGCTTACTGGGCTCTAGTCCATCTGATGGAAAGATAGAGGCATATATCCCTAGTCAGCCAATCCTGATCTTCCCCCTAAAAAAAGTTAAAACAAGAGTCCAGGAGAAAATTCTCCATGAATATTTTCACATATCTGTAGAGTCAGAGCTTTGTGAGCAAGGAATTCTGGCACCTGGGTTAAAAGGGGTTTGAGTGGCAAAAAAAAAAAAAAAAAAAAAAAAAAGCCATGGAAGTTAAAGACAGAGACCTTGACGGAGATTTAGAGGCACCTCCCCTTGTGCCATTTATTTACTTACATTTCAAAGAATGATAGACCTAGGGACCTTTAGTTCACCACCTGTCTCCAGATTGGGTGTGTTTGCATTTACAAAGCACTTGCTTTCCCTCCCCTTCTGTCTTTCCCTCTATCTCTTTCTCTTTCTTTTCCCTCTCTCTCCCTGCAGCGGAGGAGGGGGAAATGTGCCTAATGCCCTACTTAAGTTCTGAGATTCATAAATCCAGTGTTCCTTTTTTGTGGTACTAACTGCATTATTCATGTAGATAACACCTGCCCTCATTGTGTTGCCCCAAAGAGGACGGAGGCATGGGAAAACTGAGGCAAGATGCTCTGAGCAATCACAATCTGTCTCTGATGTAGAAATCCTGTGTTTCCTGTCAAGATAGACAGATAGGCATACATATAGGCATACACAAAGATTTTAAAACTTAATCTAAGCAGGTCTGACATACTCCTTTCCTTCACAGATAGCCCACATGGAGCTTTGTTAAGAGCTGACTTCCAGAAGTTTAAACTATCTTTAGTCCATCAATTAATCCGGCCCCTTGTAATTGTTCTCCAAGCTTTGAGTTCTCACTCTCTTCTCTGGGCAGCTCCTGATGTCCTCAAATGTAACTCTATCAGGTCACCCCCCCACACATACACACATGTCCCCTGGCTCTCTCATCACTGTGAAAAGAAGGCTGTTCTCGGTACCTTTACGGCTTCAGCACTATTCTCTTTTAGCTCACAGCTGGGTACCTACTGAGCACCTACCTCTAGTGGTAACTATCCTGTTGCAAATGTCTTTCAGGACAAGGATTTTTGAAAACAACTCATTAAAAACATTTATTCTCTCAGGAAATGCACCAAACCATAGAGTGTGATATACTTAAGTCAGGAGCATGGGCATTTGAGTCAGTAGACTCAGCTGCCTGACCGCTTGCCTTGGGAAAGTCACTTAGCCTCTCTGAACTTCTGTTTCCTCTTTCTTAAAATTGGTGAGTGATACTTCTGACCATTATAAATTAGATTGTGATGCATTAAATAAGCTATAAACAACTTATAGAAAGTACTGAGCACTCAAGAAATAGAGAACAGTTACTATTGTTAATATTTTTATTGTGAAGAGCAAAAGAAACATAAAATCATCGGCATCTGTTTTACCTGGCAGGACTCCTGAGTCCACTAAGGATATCATCAGGGACACTGTAGTAGAATTCATCTTTCTTTCCCATCGTATTTGAACTGGAGAATATAGGAGACTTAGTCATAACCCCAAATCCCTCTTTACATGCTTCCCAAAAATGAGGCATACAAATATACAAACTGAGGCTCAGAAACAGGTACATTTATAGGATCACTCTAACATAGGCCCTCAATAATATTTTGAGAACTGAAAGAATTCATTTAACCCCAGCTGGGATACTGTCTGAGGAAACCTGAGAAGGGAGCAGTCATTAGTGGTGGGTGACAGACAGAAATAAAAACCAAAGTAATGACCAAAAATAATTTTTTCATGTGTTGGGGGGAAAACAAAAACATTCATGGAGAAGCCTAAAACACCACAGTCCTTGCTTATAACCATTTAGTAACCTTGACATAGCAAGAAGAATATTCATGTATCATTTTGTTCCTCACAGCATGGGACGAGGTGTAATTACTAGGGCAGGGCCGCTAAACATAGAAAGTGGTAACTTTAAGGCATGAGAGAGTGTTTGAGAATAAAGGTTGTTTTTATTTATTTAATTTTTTGTAGCATTAATCATGTTGCGTCTTGCAATGGTGTTGTCATTTCTCTTGCATGCACACACTGAATTACTGAGCAGTGCTATGCAATGTGTCTCACACGCTCTGGCACTTCCATTTCATACTTCACAGTTTTAGTGTCACTTTGAGGTTTGAAATGTTTCACAGTTATTTGCTATATGTGGGTGCCAAAAAAATCAGCCTATATCACTAAAAAAGATACTACAAGAATAGAAAATGGTTAGAGTCAGATGGGAATTTTTGTTTCATTAACATTCAGAACTTTATCAAGAATCACTTTACTTTTTATCAAAGTCCAATTTATGTTTTACAGATGTATGGATGAGTACAATTATTTTTCTCACCATACAGTTCTTATAAAGTTAAATATAAACTTTTATTGATGTAGATAAGATTCTATAATTAGAAGGAAATTTAAAACACCATACATCTTTTCTAGCCTCACAACTTGTCCATATGCTCCAACATAACAAGCCCAAGAGCCTCAATCCAGTCACTTGATCTAATCCAGTATAAATATTGAGTGAATTTTTATGTATGTATCTCAATGCATGTTTCAGCTTAATGTGTTAAAGTCAATCTATTTAAACAAAAATAGAATGACTTATATCTGCCACAAATATAAAGTCATTACAACTGATAACACACTAAGTAAGATATTCACTGGCTCTTACAAATAATGACACACATGTCACCATCAATTTTTGTAAAGCAATGACACACCTGACGACTTCCTTCATTCTCCCTCTATACACTCACTGATGACTCCCTCACTTCACACACACACACACACACACACACACACACCCATAGCACATTGGCATTTGACCACCTAAATACTACCTGTATTTTTTATTAACTTATTCTGCCCCACAGTCAACCAAAAATCAAATACATAAATAAATGACAATAAACATGTTAAGACCCATAAAAAGAAGCTTTTCACACAGGAGAATGGTCTTGAAGAAACACCTGACATAAATTAAGCACTCAGTAAAGAGTCATCCTTTTCCTCTCCTTATCTTTTCAACTTCACAAGATGCCTCCTCAAGTTCAAATGTCTGGTTTGTTTCAATACAAATAGAAACTGAGACCCACTGGTAAGCATGAAAGGAAAGCAAAAAGAGAAATAAGAAAGTACAGATGGAAACTCATAGTGACATTTTTAGGCATGCTCTGAATAAGATTTTAGTATCTGAAATTATTTTCCTCAGACAATTTAAAAGAATTTTTCCATCTTAGGAAGAGGGAATTTATACTTACAATTTTGGCTATCTGAAAGATTACAACTAATTACTGGAAAGTAAGAGAGTAACTTTTTTATCTGAGGGATCCTGCTCTTAACAGAGAAACAAATAATGACTAATTATGCTAACATGTTGACAGCACTGGTAAAGGTTCAAAAGGCCTACTTGAGTTTCAAATATTCTGACAAGAAATCAGAGTAATTCTGCAAATGTGTGTGTGGGACAGCCAACCTGCCACAAAATGCACGTAAGAAAAGCTGATCAAGACGGTATACTAACATAGCTTGCTTTGTGTTATCAACTTAATCCAAATGCTAAGTTGACAAGGCCACACCAAATGTGCAAAACTGTCTTCATTATATTTTACATTTGCAACTTTCTCTTTAAATGCATACATACTTAAATGTTTAGCAGCCACAGATAATTCATACAACTTCTTTAGTACAAGAATAAAAGTACTCTACTAGAAAGCAGAGACATTCTGCTCTAGATTTACAATAGCCCAAAGGTACTAAAACTATATCAAATGGGTTTATGGAATTAACAAAAAAGTTCTTAAAATCAATTAATTCTTATTCATGTTAACATTAAAATTAGTACTTCCAGTGGCATGTTTAGGAGTAGATTGTTTGGAGGAGGGCTAGGAAGAATGGATAAAAAATACACACAAAATCTCATAACTATCATAACTTTCAAAAAAAATGGTTGGGAAGTGTTGGTACAGACAATAGGCCAACATCTTGAACTATGGTCTCTATACAGACCAATAGGGCTTTCAGGCTACCCTGTTTACTTTTTATTTAGTTATGAGCATGTTGCTCTTTGCATATCAAACATACTGTCAGACACTGCAGGGTTAACAAAAGCTATAAAATATATAAAATACATGGTCTGAGCCATCAATAAAATTAGAGAATAGTATCTTATACAGAATAAGAATTTATTTTAACAATATGTAGAAAGCAGTAATTCAGAATATTCTTGTGGCTGTCAAAGGGAAAATCATTACTACTAAAGGGATAAATGAACTAATGGTCAAATGCTTAGTAGCTGAGACAGTTTCCCCAAAAACTGTTAGAACAGTAAAGACAGTGAGAATTAATAAGGTTCTAACGTTCTCTAGAACCCTTTCACTATTTCACATCTCATACTCACTGCTCCGTATACTAAGAATTCCTTTCACTTATACAAGCACAGGAGTGATATATTCCAAATGTATGGTCTTTGTGAAAAGTGTGAAAAGGTGGAGCAGGAGCCTCCAATTTTCTAATCTTTTTTGCATACTGCTATCACTAAAAAAAATTTTCACCAGCTACCCCAATATATGTAAAGTAATTTATCTTATTGCTTGTCTTAACATTATTTATCTTATTATAAACTATATTCCTATTTTACTTTATTAACATATCACATACACTATAAAACTAACACTGAAATACACACTGTATTCAGAAGATATAGAAAAAATATAAATAGAAGCTTCTTCCTACACAATCATGTATCATCTTGCTCAACCCCTGGAATAAACACTCCCCATATGATACCAATGGGTTAGAACAGGGATTGGCAAACCACGGTCTGGGCCTAATCCAGCCCATCGCTTATTTTTGCAAATAAAGCTTTATTGGTACACAGCCAACCAACTTGTTTACCAATTGCTTCTGGCCACTTCCTTGCCACAAAGATATGAATAATTGTGACAGAGATCATACGGCCCACAAAGCCAAAAATATTTACTATCTCACCCTTTACAGAAAACGTTTTCTGACCCCTAGATTAGGATTAATTTCAGGGTACTTATGAAGGAAAAGTTCTCCGGACAGAGTAATAAGGCTGAGCATATGAGATGGAAAAAAGAGAGGCAGAAGAGATAAATCTGCCAAGAATGCCAACAAAGTTGCAAAGCAGGTGTGATGATTAATTTTATGTGTCAACTTGATTGAGCTAAGGGATGCCCAGATAGCTAGAAAACATTATTACTGTGTGTGTCTGTGAGGATGTTTCCAGAAAATATTTACATTTGAATCGGTAGACTGGATAAAGAAGATCCATCCTCATGAACATGGATAGGCAACTTCAGTCCATCAAGTAGTCAAATAAAGCAAAAAGGCAGAAGAAGGGCAAATTCTTTCTTCTAGAGTTGGAATGTTCATCTTCTTTTGCCCTTAGACATGAGAGCTGCCCTTAGACATTCTGAAGCCTTTGGACTCTGACTCCAGAACTTACACCCCTGGTTCTAAGGCCTTCAGACTTGGACTTACAACACCAGCTTTCCTGGTTCTCCAGCTTGCAAACAGCATATGGTGGGACTTCTCAGCCTCCATAATCACATGCTAATGATATAATTCCCATAATAAATCATATATATCTATATTATACATATTATAAATATATAAAAATATATAAAAATAAAATATATTTATATATTATAAATATATAAAAAGAAACATATATATCCTACTGTTTCTTTTTATATATTTATAAAAATATATAAAAATTAGGGCTCTGGAGAGCCCTAATACAATAGGCATAGGAGTAAAATTTTCTACCAGGATACAACTATTAGAGTAGGGCTGACTATAGCATGACAGGGTACAAAAACGGAACTTTAATACCAGTAAAAAGAAAACATAAGTCAAAAGGCATAGACAGCAATAGTTGTGGCATTATTTTTTTAACTGGTGTTTCTAATAACACCTCCATCAGAGGGTAGGTATCTCTCTCCATTACAGCACGACTTGAGTTGGCATACCTTTTATATCCATTTTCCTACTTGCCATAAACGTCAAAATAGGCCCAAGGAGATATTTAAGATATCAATAGGCAAAAATTATAATTTAACATAAATAATGAATAGCAAAGATTCGAATTCAGTATCTCTCTAGCACACATATACCTGCACACACATAATTCTAGTACTGGCACCTTCTAGTAAATATCATAGTATTCCTTTGGTCATGAAAGAAGGTTTTAAAAATATGCTACTAAAAATAATTGTTGGGTTATGGAGAGTTAAGGCTTTCAGTCACCAATACTTTCTGTTCTTTCTGAAGTTTTATTATATTTAAAGTCAATGCCAAAGATTGTAGCATTTAGTTATTCTCCTATATTAGTTTTGACTTCCCAACTGGAGAAGACACAAATAAAAAAAAAAATTCTATATCTTTGTATGCCCCATGTAACTTGGTAATATACAGTACTCAATAAGTAATTATTAATTGGTTCTCCAGAAGTCATGTACAAAATACACTGCTACATGTCAAATCTAATTTTCCCATTGCTTTCATTGCAAAATAGGATATTCTTTTTTAAAAAAGTTTCAAGATAAAGTAGAAAAAACAGTGGACTAGGAGTATGCAAATCTACTTCTAGTCACAATTCGTGTGACAAACTAGCTTTGTGGACTTCAGCATATCACTGAATCTTCTTTATTTCCATTTCAGCATAATGATGGGTTAGAGCAGCTGATAATTAATATCCCATTTAGCTCTGAAAGTCTATGTGACAAAAATCACATTTAAGGATATAAAAAAATCTTTTAAAACCACACTATTCAGGTAAGGTATTGCAAAATGGCAGCAAGAAGGTCAAAGCCAGAGGCAGACATGGATTTGGGGGGCATGTGGTATTTAGGAAATGTTAAATCAGAGTGTGTCTAGATGGCTGTGCTTTCTCTAGATTGCCATAGACTCCATTCCTTCCATTGATCACATCAGCTATTTCACACATTGATGTTACCTGCTGATCTTAGAAGAGCATTTGAGTTTGGAACTCATGACTTATAAGGAATTATAATTCTGTTATTTTGATAGCTAAGTATTATCTTGTATATGTAAAACAGAAGTCCTATTGTTACTAAACCAAACTTGAGAACATATAATGTGAAGGTAGTAAGCTTCTACCAATATCCTTTAATTCTTTTTCTTTCATGATGTAACGTAGCATAATTACAAGAATGCTGAATTTTAGATATTAAAACAGTGGGTTCTGGTCTTCTCTTTTCTACTAATAAGACCTGTGACCTTGAGTGGAAATTCACTGAGGCTCTCTGGACCTCTCTTTTTTATTCCTAAAATGAAGGTGGAATGGTTAAATTGTGAGTCTAATGTACATTTTATTTCTACAATTCTACAGTTCTAAGATAACAGGCAATTTCATTGTTTTGAGTCTATTTCCTAGAATTTTGTGAAAGGCCTTTAGAAATAAACAGATTTTTCCAAGCTAAAGGAAGAAAAGATGTAGGAACACAGTAGACTGACAGAATCAAAAGACAGCAAAGATGAACAACTTCAGGAAAGGAGTGCTCATTTCCTGAAATGTAGAGAGCAATAAATAAAGTAATGGAAAAGCTCTCACTAAAACATGGAGCCAACATGGCTTGAAAATTCTTTAGCAGTGAGGTAAACTGGCTAATGGTAGTAGCATTAGGCTATGAACTAAGAATGCTATGCTGCAGTGCCTGCCATGTCATTTATTTGTGATTTTAGCTTCTTATTCAAATACACTGAGCCTCAACTTCCTCACTTGCTAAAAACAGGGAATAATAATGCTTTGAAACTGCAAATATATGTGTATAGTTGTTATGCATGTTACAATAGACACATTGTTTATAAGATATGAGTTCCTTAGTGTTGGAAGAGGCTATCCACCATGGACCCGGAGCATCCCTGAAATCATACTGGGTCTGCCACGAATGTGAGGCTCTGGACACTCTTTGCTCTCTATCCAGGCATTTTCTCAGGGCATCCTTGAGGAATGAAGTAACATCTCTCCCTGGGACAAAGAGCGAGCTTGCTCTAAAAGTGATAGACTCCCCAAGCTCACATCTCTCAACTCTAACACAAATCTACTATGTATGCAGCATCTACCTGAGCCCTCTATGTTGCTTCCAGTGGACTTGGGGGAAACTGACATGGATGGAAAGCTCAGCCTACATGTTGTACTATAAGTAATAATGTTCTTGTCTCTAATGAGTCCTGACTGTGTCTTCTGCCTATACCCATGAAACTGGCAGCACTAACTTTTTAGCTTGTAAATATGGGGAAATTCCAGACCCTTCAGAGACCCTATGGAGAGGCTTAGTAAATGTATGATTGTTAGGTGAATGCAAATTAGTGTATTTCATATGTATTTCATTATCTTTTCTTGGTAGAATAATCACAGTTCTATATTTTCATCTAGAACCAGGAAGACAATTTGTGTGATGTTTGCAATCTTCCTTCTTCCAGTCCTCACAAATTGTCATCTGTTGCATAATTCACTGCACTATCATCAACAACCCACTCTGCCATCCACTCAACATTTCTGACAAATGCCAGTACTTCACCACCTTTCTTCTTTATCTTCACACAGTCAGAATGTTTCCCACGTTCAAGCTAAAGACTTACAGCTTTACTACTAAGGTTCTTCTGATCCTGAGCTGATCCCAGATCTGCTACACTAATTGTAAAGCAAGTTATTGTAATGTTATCCAGCACCAAAATATAAAATATATTCTCCTAGTGGAAACTTTACAAGTTATACTTATATCCCTAATTGCACTTGAAATTGCTACAAGAAAACAAAGCTGAAAAGACTGTAAAATTGCTTAGGATCATAGACAGGAACTTGAAGATTTAAGTGCCACCTCTACTATATTTTGTCAGAATGTAAATATAATTGCAGGTGCCTAGAAAAAAAAAAGACAAGTATACCAATAAAAAATCTTACATGCTGAATACTAGGAGAGCAATAGCACTTCTATTATAAACCATTATATGTGATAATTGCCTTTTGAGAAATAGGGATAAAGATATTATCACTAACAGAAAGGCTTTAAAGAAATGCAAATTCCTGATTAGGATCATTTTCCAGTGAGGTAAACAGCTCTTTGTACATGATTATTTCTCTCCAGCTCTTAGCTTTCCTCACATTGTATACTACTGTTTGTTTTAGGTAATATATCTCAAACATCTTGACATACTTTCTCACCTTGCATTAGGAGTCATATTTTTTCTATGCCTAAAACTAAGTCTACATGAAACGACAAAGGATGCTTGCCAAACTATAATATGTTGTTTGTCCTCAAATGAATTTGGCACTCTTTTTATTGTTTATCTACATAAACTTGCCAATGGTATTAACAACCAGACAGAACAGGAATCTGACTCATTTGCAGCCAATTACAAAGCTCTAGGCTGTAAAGCTGACCAGTTTTTGTGACTCATTGCAAAATCAGAAATCAAGGTGAAATAGAGGATAGAACCTGGCCCCAATGCTAATTAAAACACTTTACTTCCCAGTATATCTGATGACAAAAACATGTGTCACAGTTGTTTCATAGCAGTTTATTAAGTAGTTAAAGTTTTATTAACTCTTTAAAGCCATAAGAAACACTAAACTCTAAAACCACATAATGTACTTGGGTATCAACGTAGCTTGAACATGGTCACATAAAACTAGAACATTAGCTTTCAGATAAACTCCAGGTAAATGTATCATACTAAGCGTTAGATTCTCTGCCAAATGAAAGTAAGGTTTAAATACAAACTGTTGGTTGAAGAGAAATAAAGGAAGAGAGAACATGTAACCCACCTGTATTTCACAGAAAATTCTCTTTTTACCAAAGCACTTTGTGCCTGCTTTACCCTGATACAGGATCATCTGCTTTTCTGTATGAGCATATATACTCTTTTGAGTCTTTCAAGGGGTCATCACTAATGTGTCTGGTATTTTATAGTTTATATTATGTTTTCACACAAAAATCTCATTTGATCCTCACAGCAATATAGTCAGCAGTTATTTTTATCATCAGCACTTAACAACATAGGAAATGGAGGATCCAGTATATTAAATAATTTGGCCAAGATATTTCAGCAGGAGAACCAGACCTTGGTGTTTGATCTTTAGTCCCTAAATCCCAGATTCTTTCTAAGTAGATGCAGTGATTTTATTAAGTGTGGCACATTTAATTAGATTCCCATTATCATCCAGGAACAAACCATCATTCTGGACTATGTTCACAGCATGGATGCACAAATGCAAAGTCTTGTTACTCATCCTCTCCAGCCACAGAAGCTGCTCCTGCAAGGAGTGCAAACATTTTCTCCTGGAAGGAATGTTTACTTCAGGGCAACTAACACAGGAACAAGTCTAGGAAGATATAAAATTCACTACAGTTTCAAGAAAGTAAAGCTTGCAGGCCAACCAAAAAGGGAGTGCAACCTCTTATAACAGTGAAAATCAACTCTTTGAGAGTAACATTCTGTTTTCAAGGGAAAGAATGATCCAAATTTAATGTCTGGACTATTAAATTATCTGTAGGAAATAAATGACTAGAAAAGTTATACACTCATTTGATTTTATTGCTGATGTCATAAAACTCTTTCTAAATGTAATTATGCCCTATAAGTAAATAAAATCAGTTGTAAGAGGCAGCTCTGAGCAAATTAGGGTTCTAGTTATTATCTTCTTTCTTAAATAAGGCAAAAGCACTGTGTACAAATTAAAATCAGGCTTCACTTAAAAGCCAGGCAAAGAAATGCCTTGCAAGTTGTAAACCCAAGGCCCAGCATTGGGTCCTAGAATTCTAAATGTATAGTGTCTATTCACTTCTAACTATTCACAGAACAATTTTATCTAAGAAACTGTCTAGGAGCTCCAAAACAAACTTTATAGCCATTTTGGACAATTCATCGTTGTTGGCCCAGCAAAGTAATCATGCCCTCACCTTCTTTATAGAAACAGGCAATCCATGCCCATATTCTTGTTGCTCCTCCCATTCAAGAAAACCATCTGTGCTCCCATTAATAAATGTGGTATTGTTAGAAAGACTCTCCAGGTAGACGTAGGAACCGTCACTATTTTCTCAATAAAAAAGTGACTGACAAAGCTCATCCCAAAGCTAATATTCTAACCTTTAAAATATCTGTATAACACTAGCTCTCTATTTATTTTTACTAGCAAAACTATATTTGTTTCCTGGAATTTCTTGAGCTCTCCAATCTATAGCACAATACACTTAGGTGCCATTTCTTTTCTGGTGAAGTTTCTGAAATTCATCAGGTCTTTGTAGCTTTGGTCAGAGAGGAAAGTGGAGGGAGTAGCAGTAGTCCAATATTTCACTACTAACCCATACAAGAAATCAGAGCTGAATCACTTAGCCATAACCACTCTCCGGCATTTTTTGTCTTCATCCATAGAACACATCTGTGAGGACCTGCTGAAAATGACACAGACACTTGGGGACATCTTTGGAAGAAGCAGGAAAGTACTCAATTGCTACAGGATATAACTGGCAATAGGATAATTTATTATCTAAGAATAATGTTGGGCACTTTAAATGCCACCTTTCTTCTGAAAGCTTATAGTTCTTCATGAAAATAAAAGTTTTTCCAAGCAGCTAAGGCTAGATCAGTTTTATAAGGCATACTGAGATGCTAAGAAGAAAAGCAACTTGCTCAAGGTTATACAATAATTTGGAAAAAGACTAAGAGTCACTTCCATACTCCCAAGGCACTTGAGAGACCCTCATTCCTCCACATACCCCAGTTACTCAAGAAAGAGGATGTAGCACACTGTATGAATTAAATGAGCGAAAGCTTTAGATTCAGAAAGACTAAATTCAGATTCAAATCCTGGTTCTGCCATTTACTATTTATTGGTGACAATTTCAGCATGTCTCTGAGTCTGAGTTTTCCTGTCTGTAAAATCCAACTAATAATATGCAAATCTTGCAAGATTTTGATAATGCATGGCTTAATATACTGACTGATAAGTAGGAGATACTCAATACAGGCCAACTTTTTTTAGCTGCTCTGTCCTATTCTCTATAAATTGGCTTTCAATAAAGCAGTGGAAGCATTTTTGGGTTTTTAAAACCAAAAACCAGTTTGCAGAGATATAAGCACATTTTTGAACTTTCATAAAATAAAAAAGCAAAGGTCATTTGCTTACAGAGCTACAACCAGCTATTCCAGTCTATTTTTGAAAGCTACTTAAAGGCCATACTTAGCAGTTGAGTATAGTTGGACACCAGAAACTTTGGCAGAAACTACCATCAACTCAGTCACATTGGTAGTACTTATGAGCACCTGTTAAATGTGATGATAGCATGTTATATGTCTTTGTGAATGCCTCTACAGTAAGCATATAAAACGCTTTTTTGATCCATCTTCACTAAGTATATTCAGAGTACTCACTGGGCTTCTGGAATAGTTTAAAATATAAAGTGTCTCTAAAATAATGTTTTGATTCATTAACTGCAATGGGACCAAAACCAGAAGGATTTGGCAGCAGGCTTGTTCCCCTGGTTCTTAGGCTGCTTCAGAGCAGTGCCAGCTTAGAGAAGGGATGATCAATGTCTCACATTCCACACTTTAGGCACTAATAGATCCTTGGCTCCAGGATTCCAGGGTTCAGAGGGAATGCCAGAACACACATGCTGTGACAGAATCATTTTGGAAGCATTCATGCAGGCCAGAGAAATTAATAACTACCTTGGGCACTGACTTGCTCAGGCAACAGCTGTTTTGCACCGGACAGTGATTAGGATTGATCTCTTTATCCTGTGCAGATACTGTCATACTGTCAATGTTCACACACACACACACACACACACAACACACATACACACACAGTCTTCTGATATAACTCAGGGATCAGCATAACAGAAGTACCCCCTCCATGGTACATAGATCAGTTTGAAAAACCACCTGGCTTGCTTAAACCTGGCTAGCAATTTACACTTACGCTCATATATTCACTTCACTTCATTATGCAACAAGCATTTATAAAATATATTTAAAATTCTCAAGAAGCCTACTGTTTTCCTATTTAACCACTGAGGATGGAAATACAAACAAGACTGGTAAGGTCTCTGCCTTCTAAAGGCTTACTTTCTAGCATAGAGTACAGATTAGTACATAGACAAACCAATCTGATGGAAGGTGTTTTTCAGGAGTACTTAATACCTCTCCAGAATGGTAATAAGAATATTGAATTCTGCCCCCAGTCATTTTGGAAGATTGTTCATGTCTCAGGAGGCTACTTTCCAAGAAATCCATGTCCCTGGAGTAGAGGACTATAATGAACATTTCTTATTTTTAAAATATTTGGCCTGAAAAATAACTTGCCCTCATATGTTCTGGTACAAATTAACTGCCTAGGTCAGGATACAAATAAGGGGCCTTATCAGGAGAAAATGTCAAAAAGTTTATAAAGATCCTGGCTAGCCAAGACTTGCTAATAGTAATGTTCACTAGCAAAATAACTAATATCAGATGATTAACAATCTAGATGATAATAGGATTTTCTACTGAAGTCCTACTAAAACAAAATATTAAAACATAGAGGCTACTTGAAACAACACTGCTGCTTGATGAGCTCATTCTGAAGCATCCCACTTTCCAATCACCACTTTCTCCTTTCTTCGGGTTATTCCCTATCACCAACAACGCTGGACCCCCTACCAGGCCCTGTGATTCATCGATACTACCACCTTTTTACCCTCCCTTGCCACCTTCACACCTCAGGCAGCTTAAATTCCAAGGTCAATCCTTATGAACACTCCTCTCACAGGCTGATTTTGTTGCCTCCCTCTTATTTTGTCATCTTGTTTGAGAAAACACAAAGCCCTAGTTAAATGTCTTTCTATCCACCCTGTGGTGTTTGTACTCTGCATAATTAATGTGATGGGAGAAAACAAAACCATGACTGGTCTCATATAACACTAACACTAACCCAAGTGGACATTACTGTTATCCAGTAATCATCCTCCACTTCTCAGTCCATTCACTCTCCCGTCTGTATTTCATATTTTCTCTCTTTAAACCTCTAACACTTCCCCCTGCCCTTACTTTCAGCTGCTTTTTTTGCTTCCTATTTCATTGAGAAACTAGAAGCAATCAGAAGAGAACTTCTAAAGCCTGTGTCCTGAGAGTATCTGTTCCCATACACTCCATGTGCCCTCTCATTACTACAGGTGAAAATATTTTACATTCCCATCTAAGGCCCAACCCCTGTACTTATATTACAACAGCTCTCATCCACTCTCATCTTCTTATAGATACTGTTCCAGCAATTCTTCCTTTTTCTTCCTTCACTTGTGATTTTCCCTCTCCTCCTAATTGTTTCTATCAGTATAAAAATATATTGACATTTCTCCCATCTTAAATAAGGGGAAAAAAGAAGTGCTCTCTCTTGATCTCACCTCCCCCAACAGTCACCTAATTTCTGTGTTCTTCATAACTATTTGCAATAGTTATCCATATTTATCTAATTTCTCTCCCTCAATTCTCTTTTGAATTGATCACGCTACTAAAATAGTAGGTGTCAAGGTCATCGTTGACCTCCACAGTGCTAACCCCAATGTCAATTTTAAGTCTTTGTCTTCCTTGATCTGTAAGCAGAATCTAACACAGTAGATCCAACACTCTCTGCTCCTGGGAAGACAATCTTCACTCAGTATCCTGCACATCTCAGTCTCCCATTTTTTGTTTTTTCTTCCTCACTTGCTGCTCCTTCTCAGTCTCTTTGTTAGTTTCTCCTTATTTCCCTAAAATCTAAATACTCCACAGCTTACTACTCAGACTTCTCTAACTCCCTCCCATGATTATATCATAGTCTCATGGCATTAACTACCATCTATAAACTGAGGTATCTCAGGTTGATAACTGATACTGGTCCTTTCCCATGAACTCCAAATCCAGATATCCAACTCTCTATTCAATATCTCCATCTAGATATCTAACAAACATTTCAGACTTTATATAGTAGTACTCCCTTATCTGAGGGTGGATACATTGAAGACCCCTAGTGGATGCCTGAAACTGTGGGTAGTACCAAATCCTATATGTACCATGTTTGTTCCTATACATACATACATACCTATGATAAAATTTATTTACACATTAGGCACAGTAAAAGATTAACAACAATAATAAAATAGAATAATTATAATAATATGCCAGCATCGCTACTCTTGCATTTTGGGACCATTATTAAATAAGGCAAGGGTTACTTGAATACAAGTACTGCAATATGGCAACAACCAAGCTGATAACCAAGACAGCTACTAAGTGATTAAATGGATGGGGCACATATATAGTGTGGATATGCTGGAGACAGGGAGGATTCTTATCCTGGGTGGGATTAATTGGTATGGGGCAAGATTTCATCTCCCTACTCAGAAGGATGTATAATTTAAAACTTATGAATTGTTTATTTCTGGAATTTCCCATTTAATACTTTCAGACCACAGTTAACTTCACGTAACTAAAAGTTCAGAAAGTGAAACCACAGAAAACAAAACCATGGATAAGGAGAGACTACTGTCATGGGATCCTTGGGGCATCACTTCACCAGCCAGAAACCTCTGTGGCTGGTGGTGCCTTTGCCTGAGTTTTGCTGGGGCCTGCTGTGCTAAGTCCACCTGCTTGGCCTGACAGGCTGTGCTCAGCTCACATTACTGGCCCAGATCCCATGCCTGCCAAGGGTGAGCCAGGCATGGAGTGGCAAGGGGTGCATGAATTAGCGAGCACAGGGTTCAGCCACTGCATACAGTCAGTAATGCTGGCTGTGGAGGGGTGGCCAGCTCCCAGCACCAACTCCTGCAAGGCTGCAGCTATACCAGGCATACTGCAAGCAGCTTCCACTGCTTCCACCAGGGAACATAGTAACCCCTGGAATCTTGGAGATGCCAGGAATCACAGAGCCCCAAAGAGAGTGTCACAGTCCTGGCTTGGGGAGCTCCTAGGTCTGGGCTCCCTGAAGGACCGCTGCTCTTCTCTCCTTTCCTCTTCTCTCCTTCTCATGGCCTGCAACACGGTGAGCAAGGGGCGTGTTTCAGCCCTGTTTGTGTTACAGCTCTTTCAGTCCTGCCATCTGGTGGGTCCGGAGTTCTTGTCCCATGTCCAGGAAGAATGAGGTATGTGGACAACTGGAGGGTGAGGTGAAGAGGTGCTTTATTGAGCAACAGTACAGCTCTCAGGAGACCCGAAGTGGGTAGCTTCTTTCTGCAGGCAGGTCGGCCAGACATTTGCTCACCTCTCAGCTCCGCAGATTCCTCTCCACAGGCAGGTCATCCCAACATCAATGTCTCTGCAGCCCTCAGGGGAGATGAGACCAGTAGTGGGTGGCTCTTATCTGCAGATAGGTCTTCCTGTCCTCTGTCCAAGTCTGGCTGAGTCCTGGGGAGAAAGTGCTTACTGATTGGTCTATGGGTGGGCCATGGGCGGACCCAGAAAAAGCACCATAGGTTCTCACTCTAGTCCACAGAACTGGCAGCCCAGCCCCAGGCTTCAGGCCATCCCCAGCTCGAAGGTGAGGCTTCACTGGGATCTGCCCCTTTCTGCCCAGGAGCCTGTCTGCCTCCTGCTGCCATCAACCTGCCATCTACAGCACCCACAGCACCCAAGCTGTTCATGCCAAGGGGTACCTCCAGTCCCACACCGAGCTGCCTTCAGCAACCCCCTTGGCCTCCGTCCCATGCTTGTTGGTGCCCAAAGTTTGGAGGAGGCCAAGACGGCAGGAGGCTGGCACGTCAGCACAGCCCTGAGCATGTGCACACTTGGCTGGGTCGTGACAGTGCCGGGGCTTGGCCACAACTTTGCTCCAAAATTGGAGTGAGGACTGAGAGTTGGGAGAGGCCAGCCAGCAGGAACAGGCATTTCTGAGCCTGTGGGGGCAGGTGGAGCCTCCCAGGCCCCCAAGAGAGCAGAGATGTCCAGGTCCGCTGTTGCAGCTAGGCAGCTGCAGCTGCGCCAAAGAAGGCAAGATCCTCCAACGCGGAAGAGGGCGGGGCTCACACCTGTTTTCTGTTCCCTGCGGCTCCATGGAGCACGTTGCCCCAGCCAAGCCTGCCCGGCTGCAGCCGGCATCTTTGCAGCAGCCGCTCCAGATGGGCTGCTGCTGCCATTGCTATTGTATGTCTAAAGCTGAACAATAGTTCATACCCATCAAACCTGTTCTTCACAAAGACTTCCCCAGTTTGGTAAATGACAACCCCATCCACAGTACATAAAGGCAAAAGCTTGGAGTCATCTTCCTCTCACATCCAAGTAACCAATTCATCAGAAAATCCTTTAGGTTCTTTGGAAAGGAGAGAAGGGCTGGAAATTGAGTTAATAATCAATCATGCCTACGTGATGAAGCCTCCACAAAAATCCCTGAACTATGGGAGTTTGGAGAGCTTCCAGGTTGGCAAGCACACTATGTGCCAGGAGGATGGCACATCCCAACTTTACAGCAACAGCTCCTGAGCTCAGGACCCATCCAGACCTCACTCTATGTATCTCTTCACCTGGCTGTTCATTTACATCTTTTATTATATCCTTTATCAACAAATTGGTAAACTTAGGT
The DNA here is from genome assembly GCF_000001405.40 of Homo sapiens. Classification (NCBI taxonomy): domain Eukaryota; kingdom Metazoa; phylum Chordata; class Mammalia; order Primates; family Hominidae; genus Homo; species Homo sapiens. The sequence goes on from NC_000004.12 coordinate 149,717,109, forward strand.
AAGGTGTTTCCCTGCATTCTGTGAGCTGAGAAAATTCATCAAACTGAGTTGGGAGTTGTGGAAACCCCAATTTATAGCCAGTTGTTGAGAAATTCTAGATGCTCATACTTGAGAATAGCATCTGAAGTGACGGGCAGTTTGAGGACTAAGCCCTCAACCTATGGGATCTGATGCTACCTCCAGGTACATAGTGTCAGATTTGAATTGAATTGGAAGACACCAAGCTGGTGTCCACTGGAGAACTGCTTGGTGTGTGAGGAGAAATTCCCATACGTTTTGGTGACCAGAGGACACAGAATTATTCTGTGTTGTGGTTAGCAGAGGATAGAAGAAACACACTTTGTTTTTCCCTTTATAGCTGAGAAATCCGTTTCAAAATTAGTAAAATATAATTCCATTATTTTAACTTCTTTTATATAAATATACATCAATTTCAGCACACTATTATCCCACAAAGAAAACTAAAATCTTAATAAGTTCAGCCTCAAATGTTTAAAGTTAACTTTGCTTGATTTACTAATTAGCATTTAATAATAAGAATTGAGCCTGAAAAAGGTTAAAGTAATACAAATGTTAATGGGTGAGGTTGACCAACTTACACAGAGTATGGCAAAAATAATTATGGGTCCCTTGGCTACATATAAATTACTGATACAGAAAGTATTTCATGGCATAGACTTTTAATGTCCTAACGGGCCTAACACTGCTAGGAGGCAATGCATGTGCCACTCAATAAAAGACTTAATTACTTTAATAACCGGTTTATGGTTGTCCCTTTCCTAAACCCTCCAAAAGGTACGTAAACCTCATGCTATTGGCAAATCCCCGGTGCCTACAAGTAGTTAGTAACATGGTGGCCTCTGATGATAGGAATTTGTATCCATGGGGAGTATATTTATGCCCTTTCTCTTAGTTCAGACAAAGAAGACTGGCTAGACAGAGAGGTTCATGGCTTTGGTGAGAGTAAAAGGCCCTCCTGCCTACAACTGGAAGGGTAAGTTTAATCCTGGGAGAGGATCAACAAACCATGGAATCACTTATTTAAAGCCATATTCTCTAATCAACTTCCACCATAATAAAATAAACATTTGATCTTCATTTGCTCCATTCCTGTGTCTTACTTCTCAATTCAAGTGGTTCCAAACTCAGAAGGAAAAAGGTGGTGCTACCATAACTCTGATTCCTACCCTCCCCTCAAAAACCCTGAAATATGTATTTTTTTAAGCAAGAGAGAAGAAAAGTAATGTCTGCTAAACTGAAAGTTCCATGAGGGCACAGACCATGGTACACAGTATCTGGTTCAAGTAGGAGTTTAATATAGCTGCTGAATAAATACATGAATGAAGAGACAAAAGTTGAAACAATTAGCCTATTGATCACACTTCTATACTCCTTTTGACAAGGAAATTATTTTAGAAAAATGATGTCTAGAATTGAAATGTACTTTCAGAAGTATACTGTATTAGTTTTATATGCCCATTAAAACAAATTACCAGAAGCTTGTGACTTAAAACGACGATTTCCTCACAGTTCTGGAGGCCAGCAGTCCAGAATCAAGATCCTGGCAGGGCTGCTCTCCTTCATAGCCTCTAGGGACAAATCCATCCCTTGCCTCTTCCAGCTTCTGGCGACTGCCAGACTGGTGTGGTTACATCACATGAATCCTGCCTCCATGGTCTCTTTGTGTTTTCCTCTTTTGTCTGTAATCTCCCTTTGCCTCTCTTTTATAAGGACACTTGTGACAGTATTTATAGCCAACCTAGATAATCCAAGATAGTCTCCCCACCCAAAAATTCTTATATTAATCACATCAGCAAAGACCTTTTTCCCAAATAAAACATTTACAGGTTCTAGGAATTATCATCTGATATCTTTGGGTGGCCATTATTCAGCCTACTATTTACACCTGAAGTGAAATTTTTCCAAGAATGATTGGATAAGAAAGGTGTTTCCAGGCCAGGCATGGTGGCTCATGCCTGTAATCCCAGCACTTTGGGAGGCCGAGGTGGGCAGATCACCTGAGGTCAGGAGTTCGAGACCAGCCTGGCCAACACGGTGAAATCCCATCTCTACTAAAAATACAAAATTAGCTGGGTGTGGTGGCACATGCCTGTAATCCCAGCTACTCGGGAGGCTGAGGCAGGAGAATTACTTGAACCCAGGAGGTGGAGGTTGCAGTGACCCAAGACTGCATCATTGCACTCTAGCCTGGGCAACAGGAACAAAAGTCAGTCTTAAAAAAAAAAAAAAGAAAAAAGAAAAAAGAAAGGTGTTTCCATTAGACCTCCAGTGACTACCAACAGAAAACTAAATTATCTGAAACAAATATAAGAAACTACCAAGTGATAAAGCTGGGATTTGAGCCTGGGAAGTTGAAATCCCATGCTCTGAGACACTAAACCATCTATCTGCCTTCTCAAAAGGGAGGAATTCACTGATTCACATAAACTGGAAAGTCCAGCTAAAGTTTATCTTCAGCAATGCTTGATTCAGAGATATAAACAATGTCATCAGTACTTCATCTCCCTCCACCATTCAGCTCTTTCTTCCATGTTGGCTTTATTCCAGAATTTCACACTGTCTTCTGTGACCTCCAAGCTCACATCATCCTTGTTGGATTAAGCCCCATCACTCAACCCATCACTGTGGCCAAGAGAATAATCTAATACCATTGGCTATGCCTGAATCACAAGCCCAAAGCTGACAGGTGACATAACAGTCCTACCCAAACTGCATGAACTCCAAGTAGAGGAGTATTTTTCCAAATCAGACTGAAATCTTGTTACCAGTTCTAAGGTTAAAGAATACCGAGAAGCCAAAACCAACACATGTTCACTGAGGAGGGTCTGCACTACAAATAGAAAACCATTTCTAGAAAGCTACTGCTCTCATTTCACTTCCTCAGAAGAGGTGGTATTATTTACACCCACATAAAGCTGACAGAATGACCCTGGGCCACTGTAAAACATTTGACTAACCTCTTAATTCTCTGCCTGTGTTCTTTGTCAAGTACAAAACATTGAACAAACATGTTCTAATGTTCCAAAACATGTGCTTAATCAGAAAACCTCTGCAAGTCACCACTCTATTCTAAGATTTTTTTTATTCCTGAATTTCCCCTCTGGGCCAATAATATCAGAGTTAGCAGAAGAAAAATGGTAAAAAAGAATGTGTTTCAATTGCTTCTAAATCCTTATAATGTTTTAATATCTTTTCTATTTATAACATACTATTAATTCTATGTATTCATAGTTTTATTCAATTATATTAATTCATATTTAAGATGCTATTAACTTCATTAAAAGTTAGTGAACTTTGTGGCTACTTCACTGCAGGAAACCAAGTTGCTCAGAAGCAACAAGTCTCCTGTCTTACTCTGAGTCCTCATCTTGCATCTTTCTATTTCGGAGCTTACCAGGTCAGTATAAAAAGAGAAAAAGTGTAAAGAAGAAAGGAGCATGTTCAAGACATTTGTCATTCAGATATGAATTATAATTCTATTCATGTGCTAATTTAAGAATTCTGTTTAGGTTCTTTCTGCAAGAGCATTCAAAAGGGCAAGCAAAAGAAAATTCCTGACAAGAAATGAGAAGAAATACAGCAATCTAAACCAGGAAGAAATGAAGAAAAGTAGAAGCATTTGCAAAATTCTCCGTGTGATAATCTCTCAAGAGATTATCTCAAACTTATTCTCTCATTTAGAAATTTCACAATAAGGATCTGTTTTTATGCATGGAGAGATATTAGTATGTTTCAAATTCCAAGACTTCAAATCAAATTATTCTGTGACACCAAACTCAGCATAATTTTCCATCTCATTGAAAACAATCTCTAGTTTCCACTTTTTTTATAAATTGTTATGGCTCCTAGTCTTAAATTCTTCCGAGTAATTTTGTAGGAATGAGTAAAAACATTTTAGCATGTTTGCTGCATGTTTGTATGTATAATCGGTCATCTGTTTCTGTAGATTCAGCATCTACTGATTCAACTAATGGCAGGTTGAAAATATTTTTTTAAAATACACAATAAAAAATAATACAATTTAAAAAACAATACAACCACTATTTACATGGGATTTACACTGTATTAGGTATCATAAGTAATCTCAATATGATTTAAAGAATACAAGAGTATGTGCTTAAGTTATATGCAAATACGCCATTTTCATTTTTTTCTTTTATTTATATTTTTTATTTCAATAGCTTTAGGGCTACAAGTGGTTTTTGGTTGCTTAATTGAACTGTGTAGTGGTGAAGTCTTGAATTTTAGTGTACCCATCACCCAAATAGTGTACATGGTAATCCATAGGTAGTTTTTCATTCTTTAGACCTCGCCCACCCTCCTCCCTTCTGAGTCTCCAGTGTCCATTATACCACTCTATATGCCTTTGTGCAGCCTTAGCTTAGCTCAGGCTTATAAGTGAGAACATGCAGTATTTTATTTTCTATTCCTGAGTTACTTCACTTAAGATAGTGTCCTTCCATTCCACCTAAGTTGCTGCAAAAGACATTATTCTGTTCTTTTATATGGCTGAGTAATATTTCATGGTATAAATATACCACATTTTCTTTATCCACTCATCAGTTGATGGGCACTTAGGTTGATTCCATATCTTCGCAATTGTGAATTGTGCTATGATAAACACGTGCATGTAGGTGTCTTCTTTATAAAATGACTTCTTTTCCTTTGCGTAGATACCCAGTAGTGAAATTGCTGGGTTGAATGGTAGATCTACTTTTAGTTCTTTGAGAAATCACTGTACTATTTTCCATAAAGGTTGTACCAGTTGACATTTCCACCAGCAGCACATAAGCATTCCCTTTTCACCACATCTGTGCCAACATCTATTGTTTTTTGACTTTTTAATAATGGCCATTCTGGCTATGGTAATGTGGTACCTCATTGTGGTTTTAATTTGCATTTCCCTGATGATTAGTGATATGGAGAATTCTTCATATGTTTTTTGACCATTTGTATATCTCCTTTTGCGAAATGTTTGTTCATGTGGTTTACCAACTTTTAAATGGGATTATTTGGTCTTCTCCTTGCTGATTTGTTTGAGTTTCTTGTAGATTCTGGATATTAGCCCTTTGTCAGATGCATGGTTTGCAAACATTTTCTCCCATTCTGTAGTTTATCTGTTTACTCTGTTGAATATTTCCTTTTCAGGACAGCAGTTTTTTAGTTTAATTGGGTCCCATTAATTTATTTTTGTTTTTGTTGAGTTTTCTTTTGAGAATTTACTCATAAATTATTTGCCTAGGCCAATGTCCAGAAAAATTTTTCCTAGGTTTCCTTCTAGAATTTCATGGTTTGGGTCTCATATTTAAGTCTTTAATCTATCTTAATTTTTGCATATGGCAAGTGATAGAGATCCAGTTTCATTCTTCTACATGTGGGTATCCAATTTTCCTAGCACCATTTATTGAACAGGGTGTCCTTTCTCCAGTGTATGCTTTCATCTGCTTTGTCAAAGATCAGTTGGTTATAAAGCATTTGGCTTTGTTTCTGGGTCCTCTATTCTGTTCTATTGACTTGTGTGTCTACTTTTACATCAGTACCATGCTGTTTTTGTTACTATAGCTTTATGGTATTATTTCAAATAGGGTAATGTGATATCTCCAGAATTTTTCTTTTTGCTTAGGATTGCTTTGTCTATTTGAGCTCTTATTTGGTTCCATATGAATTTTAGGACTGTTTTCTCTAATTCTGTGGGAAAAAAAAGATATTAGTAATTTTATCAGAATTGCATTGAGTCTGTGGATTGTTTTGAGTAGTATGGTCATTTCCATGACATTGTTTCTTTCAATCCATGAGCATGAGATGTTTTTCTATTTATTTCTGTCATTTATGACTTCTTTCATCAGTGTTTTATAGTTCTTGTAGAGATCTTTCACCTCCTTGGTTAAGTATATTGCTAGGTATCTTTTCTTGTAGTTATTGTAAAAGGGACTGAGTTCTTTATTTGATTCTCAGGTTGGTCATTGTTGGTGTATAGCAGTGCTACCGATTTGTGTATATTGTTTTAGTAAACTGAGACTAAACAGAATTCATTGCTCAAATCTAGGAGTCTTTTGGAGGAGTCTTTAGGGTTTTCTACATATAAGATCATATCATCAGCAAACAGAATTAGTTTTACTTCCTCTTTTCTAATTTGGATGCGTCTTATTTCTTTCTCTTGCCTGATTGCTCTGCCCAGGACCTCCAGTATTATGTTGAATAGAAGTAGTGTAAGCAGGTACTCCTCTCTTGTTCTAGTACTTAGGAGAAATGTTTTCAACCTTTCATTGTTCAGCATGTTATTGGCTGTGGGTCTATCATATATGGCTTTTATTATTTTGAGGTATATTCTTTATATTCTTAGTTTGTTGAGGGTTTTTATTGTAAAGGGACGCTGCATTTTTTCAAATGCTTTTTCAGCATCTATTGAGATAATCATATGGTTTTTGTTTTTAAGTCTGTTTATGTGGTGAATCACACTTATTGACTTGCACATATTGAACCATCCCTGCACCCCTGGGATGAAACCCTCTTGATCATGGTGAATTATCTTTCTGATGCACTGTTGGATTCAGTTTGCTAGTGTTTTGTTGAGGATTTTTGCATCTATGTTCATCAGACATATCAGTCTGTAGTTTTGTTGTTGTTGTTATTTCCTTTCCTGGCTTTGGTACCAGGGTGATACTGGCTTCATAGAATGAGTTAGGGTGGATTTCCTCCTTTTTGATATTTTGGAATAGTTTCAGTAGGATTGATACCAATTCTACTTTGGATGTCTGGTAGAATTTGTCTATGAATCTGGGCCTGTGCTTTTTTTTTTCCTTCCTGGGAGATTTTTTTTAAATTACTGATTAAATTTCATTGCTTGTTACTGGTCTGTTCAGGATTTCTATTTCTTCTTGATTCAAGCTAGGAGAATTGTATATTTCCAAGCATTTATCTGTTTCCTATGGATTTTCTAGTTTGTGTGCATAGAGGTGTTCATAGTAGTCTCAAATGCTTGTATTTCTGTACTACAGCATTTTAAATAAGGGACTTGAGCATCTGCCAATTTTGGAATCTGCAGAGTTCATAGAACCAGTTCCCCACAGATACCAAGGAATGATCATATACCTGAAATCATTAAAATATAAATTAGGTTTCATAAACATTGTTGATCAAAAAACTATTTGGTAAGTTGTCACCACTGTAGGCAAAGGAAAAATCACAGCACAAAGTCATTTTTTTCTGATAGATTTCTCCAGTGCCTTCTAGCTATGTAGTCATTTTAAAGCATTATTACAATTTATTATGCTCTCATTTTATATATAAAGGAAAAGATTTGTGATTTGGAGACCAAGGAACACATAAACACTCTCTCTTTCTCTCTCTCTCTGACACACATACACGTACACTCATACAAATATGTAGAGACTCTCCCACACCCATAAACACATATACACAATCACAAACACACACATACACACTCAAACACACTCTCACAACTCACACACTCATACATATTTTTAACTTCTTCCAGACTGGGTAAGGAACAACTCCATATCAACCCTAAATATATGTGCATGACATGGATGTAATGAAATCTTGTTGAGCTTAATTAGAGCCTGTTTTCAAATTTAAATAACTCAAAATAGACGTAAATATTTTTAATTCCTGAGAGAATGCAAATTATATATTATATAGTACTACATGGACAAGACAATACTGTATTATATGCTAACTAACATTAATATTTTATATATATTACAAAAACATTGATTTTACATGAAATTTCTAATTTCTAATAGTCAATCATTTTAGTAATCTAATAATTTAAAATTTAATAATTTTTAATAATTAAGATTCATAAATTATCAGCAGAATGACAATACAAACTGGTTAAGCAGTACTGTAGAATATCTATACACAGAAAGAGAAGATAATTTCATATTTTTCCTGACTGCTGTATCAAAACTATGGGCATGTATTTACAGGCAAGCACAAAGAAGATATTTACAAAGGATATTTGATACTATAATTGTTACAGGGTATTCTTTAAGTTGATATCCTTGGATCAAATTCAAGGAATCTTTGGCCTATTCTCACATAAGATATTCAGTTTATGGAAGATAATGCAACTGAATTTGTCTGGGCTGTCTGAGCAGAAACTACATACTCTAAACACGCAGTACACACTTTTCTTTCTAATCTCACAGACTTTAATCAAGTTCTGGGATTAATGCCACTGATATCTTAGATCATGCTTCCATTCACCCTGAAGTGAATATTGGGAATATGCTTTAAAAATAGATCCAAAGTACAGAGCTAATACATGCCTTTTGAGATAAAAACTTTGAAAAATGAATTGCAATTTTAATTCAAATATAAACTCAAAGATCAGCATTTCAGAGCTGTCTAGTGAGGCACATGCAAAGGTTCCTAGTAGCATGTCTCTGACCTCAGCAGAGTCTATAATGAGATTTTCAGGAGGATTTCTGTCCTCCTTGTGCTCCTGATAAAATCTTCACTTCCCTCTTACATTGTCCACCCCCAACACTTTGGCCTCATGATTACAAAGTGCTAAAGAGAAAAATCCCCCAAAAGAGACTATCATTAGAAAGGATTACTCACATATTCTAAGTGACCCTCAGAACTAGTCTTCTCACTCTTCTTACTGCTGACCTCAATCTCCATAGACCTGCCATCTTTCATCCTTCCTCGAACCAGCTCCCAAACTCTTCATTTGCCCTAAGAAACCCAAGAGCTTCTATTTGCTAAATTAATATTCTTGCTATCTTCTGTACATGTTCCCCCTATCTTCTTGTTCTACTAATCCTATTTTCCTAAGGAGACAGCTTTTTCAGCAGCTCTCTCAACGAATAGCTATTCCTTTATTCTACCCTTCACATACCCTAGGGCTTTAGGCAAAGACAGTTTCTTCCCTGATGCTCAGTGACACTTCCCAACCATTTCTCTTCCCTCTAAAAGAAAGAAAGAAAGAAAGAAAGAAAGAAAGAAAGAAAGAAAGAAAGAAAGAAAGAAAGAAAGAAAGAAAAGAAAGAAAGAAAGAATTTCATTTTTTCATAGCAAACTATATTTTCACTTTCACATTTTTCCAAATTTGATTATTTCACCCTTCTCCTTGCTCCTCAAAACCCCAACACTTTCGGTCCCATCCTACCCTCAAGTGAATAACTCACTTCTAACTTCATTGAAAAAAAAATTGAAGTAATCTCACCACCTGCTCTATCAATCCACCTGCATCTGCACTCATGTCCCTGCCTTTCTCTTGGGACAACAGATAAGCTGTCCTTGCTCCTTTCTAATGCATTACTCCTTAATTGAAATATGACTAATATATTTCCCACTCCCCTGATTTGGCTCCTGTTCATTTTCTGCTTCCTTTGCTGGATACTCCTTTTCTTGCCCTCTAAGTGTTAGAAATTCTCAGGGCTCAGTTCTTGGATTTTTTTTCTACCTACATTTATTTCCTCAATGATCTTATCTAAGTCTATGACTGTAAATAATATCTATACCTGTGTTGTCCAATATGATAGCCAATTACCATATGTAGCTATGAGCACTTGAAATGTGGCTAGTCCAATTTAAGCATCACTATAAGTAAAATATACACTGGATTTTGAAGATTTAATATGAAAAATATATAATATCTCAATAATTTTACATATATATATGTAAAAATTACTGAGATACTATATATCTTTTTTTTTCCTCTGTCTCCCAGCTAGAGTGCAGTGGTGCAATCTCGGCTCACTGCAGCCTCCGCCTCCCAGGTAGCTGGGATTACAGGTGCCTGCCATCAAGCCTGGCTAATTTTTGTATTTTTCAGTAGAGATGGCATTTCACCATGTTAGCCAGGCTGATCTCCTGCCCTCAAGTGATCTGTCCGCCTCGGCCTCCCAAAGTGCTGGGATTACAGGTGTGAGTCACCACGCCTGGCTCCAAATATATTATAGAAATTAATTTTACCTGTTTCTTTTTACTGTTTAAAGTGGCCACTAGAAAATTTTTTATTATATGTGGCTCATGTGGCATGTCTACTGGACAATATTATCTATAAATTAATGACTCCAACCTTTCCCATGAGTCTGCACTTACTTATAATGGACTACCTATTTGATGCTTTGATTTGCATGTCTAATTGCCTCCTCAAACTTAAAATATCCATATCCCAATTCTTGGTTTCTGCCCATTTAAAACGCATCTCTCTATTCTCCATCTCAGAAAGTAGCAGTTCTCATCTTCCAGTTCATCAGGACTAAAGCCTAAGAGTCATCCTTCATGCTGTCTTTCCCTTACACTCCACACCTAATCTTTCAGCAAGTACTGACAATTCTGCCATCAAAATATTTTTATGACAGTATTTTTAAAGTGATATTAGAAATGAAGGAGGAGAAAATAAAACAAGCAAGAAGGGAAAACTAATGTGAAATTTTTTTCTGAGTTGACCATCATTATAAGATACTGGTTGCTTAACTGTCCGAAACCTTCTGAGAAGCTTTATAAAAGGTTATTGAGACCCTTCTGCCCAGGGACAGAAGGGAGGAAACATTTATCCACTGGCTCTCATCCCCCCTTCCTGGTTGTTTATGTGTCAGCTGAAGCTGGTCCTATGAATGTCTCAAGCCAGGAAGGAGTCCAGGAAGTATGGAACAAGGACCAGTAACCCTAGCAGTGGCTGCAGTGCCTGGAATAAGAGATGAGCCCAAGAGGATTTCAGGTGATGAATGAGAAGTGTTTGACACGGCCTGCATGCAGTGGTGTGCTGCAGCAAGCTCAGACCTGCTCAGGAGAGCTGACTGTGTACATCTCTTCCCAACTCCTGTAATCAGTGGTACCACTATTGGTAGTTTGAAATTGGCTATGTTAAGAGTATTTACACCATGGAAATCAGTAAAAACTACAAACCAGGACTTCCTCCCTCCCCTCACCAGAGCCAGTTGTTAAACATGTGCTAGCACGGCACTGACTAAAAGGTTCTGTTCTTATACAGTCTCAGCTCACTCCTCTCCAGCTGATTCTCAGAACTGCAATCACATTAACTCTTTTTTCACTTATTTGAAAGTTCTTCCATGTGCCCCACACCTTGGGTCATTGAAAATGGTTTTGCAATTGCCTCAAACTTCCCACTCTTTGAGTAATTCCTATGCATCTTTTATATCTTAGCTCAAATATCATTTCCTCTGGGAAGTCTTGCAGACACACAGTCCATGTCCAATTTACTTGTGATGTACTCTCAATCTGTATATATGTGATTGTTAATTGATATCTGTTTCCCTAGCTAGACCACAGGTTCCACGAGGACACAATTTATGTCCATTTTTTCTCCTTTGTATTCTCTGCACTGAGCTTTGTATATTTACTGAATATCTGAACTAAGTTTTTTAATCAACACATATTAAAAGTACTATTACCACTGTTTAATTATTTTAAGAATATTGAAAAGAAGTCCTCCTACTTGAAAATGTGGGGAGCCACATTGGGAGGAGAACACATAACACTTTTATGGGAATCACTTATGTGCATTTTATGTGCATCACTTCCAGCTATAATCCACTGAGACAAATCTATCACATAGCCCCATCTATTTTCCAAGTACCAAGGAAGAAAAGGATACAAGTTTGATGAGCATCTATCCCGTCTCTGCTACAGTCTGTTCTTTAGGACACTAAATATTCATTCCTTCTTGTTCCTTTACAGAACACACCTTTCCTCTCCCCAAAGATGACAACCCAAAGTTCCCCCTAGGCACTACATCCAGCTCAGAGAGCAGGACCTCCAGCTGCTGTGCAGTTTTATCCAACAAGTTCAGATGTGGCTCCTTACGGTCCAGTAATATGAGACCCAAGTACAGAAGATATCTCCATCTTCCCCAAAGCATATAGCATACAGTAATAGAGCAGGTATAGGATAACCTCAGTAAAAACTCCATTAGTGAAAGGGAAGAAAGTAAACATAATAGTCACCAGTCCAAAGATGTTATAGAATTCTATTGGAAAGTCACTGAGAAGGCCCCCTAACCTGGAGGTGGGGAAGTTCCTTGAATAGACAATGATTTTGTCCTGGGACGCGCTCTCTTCATTTTTTCAGTGGCCTCTTGATCTACTCTCTGAGAAGCCTTTTACTTGCTCCTTGGACACATCTTGCTATTACCCTCCTTGGAGGTTGTACGGCTTGTGTCAACCACTTCCTGATAAATCTAGGTTATCTTACTTTTTGAACATTCAATTACATCAAGGTTTATGGTTTCTCTGGAAATGAAATTCTCTAAAAAAATCTGTTAGGCTTTTTAATCTATTTGCTTCCAGTTAATTCTGCCTGACAATAACCACACTCAAAGTCTTTTTTTGTTGTTTTTTTTTTTGTTGTTTTTTTTACCTTTTTTGAAATGGAGTCTCACTCTGTTGCCAGGCTGGAGTGCAGTGGCACGATCTCAGCTCACTGCAACCTCCGCTTCCCAGGTTCAAGCGATTCTCCTGCCTCAGCCTCCCAAATAGCTAGGATTACAGGAGCGTATCACCATGCCCAGCTAATTTTTATATTTTTAGCAGAGACAGGGTTTCACCATGCTGGCCAGGATGCAGTCATTTTTTTTAATATATGGTTCTAAAATCTCCTTTGCATCTTTGTTTCCTTTACCCCTTGGATTAGTCTCTCAATAATGACTGCCATGAGGGTATCTGAGATAACGGGCTGTGTGGTAAAAGATGTACTTTTAATATGCTTTTTGCTGCAATGTTAAGTATTAGTAGATATTTGCTCAAAACCAAGACCCTAAGTACCTAGTATCTCTCTATGCCCATTCATTTCTAATTGTAGACTAGCCAGGACTTTTCTCAGTTTATCTCATGTTTATAATAATTCCCAAAGCAAGCCAGAAACCAGCAATATGTCTTAATAATGAATTTCCCAACTTCTTTACCTGAAGCTACAAAGCTCAGTAGGTACATGGTCTAGATTCCAACTTATTGGTGGTGGCAGTTTTTACCATTATATAAGATGCATCTCCAACCTTCTAATTTGCTATACCTGGCTTCATGCTGCCACTTAGTGTAAACCACTAACCCACTACCACAGCTCTTCCCTGTGTCTTATGCTTTACTTTATTGTTGACCAAGTTTAAATAACTCTACCTTTCTAATGTGTGTAAAATCTCTCCCAACACTATCCCCAGTGTTACTACCTTCATTTAAGTTGTCTTTCCCCGTGTGAATTACTATCTCCTTATTGGTCTCTATGCATCTAAAATCCATCATACCCCATCTCTACAGCCAGTAAACATGCTAAAATGCAAATATTATCACTGCAACTTCTCTTTAAAACATTTAAATTGTTCTCATAACTTTTAGGTTAAAATTCAGTGTTGTTCAGTATCTAGTCTGTTATCTGTAATCACTCCCCAATCCTCATGTTCTAGTCATGTAAAATCATTTTAATTCTGTCAAAAACATCATAATCACTTTCTCAGAGATCCACTGTCAGGTAGATGCTAGGCCCTCTAGCTAGATAGAATTTTCTTTCTCTTTTGAGTTAACACTTATTTATCTTTCAAAATTTACCAAAGACTTTAAATTTCCTGAGAATCTATTCCTGACACCTAAATCTGAATCAGATATCCTCCTATTCACTTTAAAGCAGTAGAGTTACTTTCTATTACAGTATGAGTCATACTATAATTGTCTATTTATTGTCCTTCAATGCCACTGCAAAAACTATATACATCAAATTTGAATTTCTTGAAGGGAAGCAGCATATCTTTTGTCTCTCATACCTCACATGTTAAATTAAACAAATGTTAGGTGAAGAAATGCATGAGCCCCACAATTTCAGTACGGTAGTGATCCCTCACATCTATCTTCAATCTTCACGTACCTCTCAAGTGCTAGGTCTCCTTTTCCAACTTCCTAATGGCTATCTCCACATGTGTGTCTACTTAACAGGTCTAAAACTGAATTCGTTATTTTCCCCCATCCCTTTCCCCACTTGTCCAAAATCTGCTCCTCCCCTTATTATGCTTCAAATGTTTGTATGTCTCCAATATTCATGTTGGAACCTAAGATCCAATGTGATAGTATTAAGAGATAGGACCTTTGAGGAAGTGATTAAGTTATGAGGGCTTCACCCTCATAAAGGAAATTAATGTCCTAATAAGAGAGGTTTCAGAGAGCTGCTAGCCCTTTTCCCTTCCATCCCTTCCACCATGTGAAGACACAGCTTTTGTCCCATCGAGAGGACAGAGCATTCAAGGTGCCATCTTGGAAGCAGAGACTGGACCCTCACAAAACCACATGCTAGTTAGTACCTTGATCTTGGATTTCCCGCTTCCATAACTATGAGAAATAAATTTAGTCTGTTTATAAATTATTCAGGCATTTTGTTATAGCAGCAAGAACAGACTGAGATAGTCTCTAAATTTCTACCCCATCCTAAGGATTTTTGTCCAGTTTCTCAGTCTAGAAGCCTCAATATCTTATCATCTTCATTTTCATTACACATCAGTTGATTTTTCAAAAACCAGTTAATTCATCCTAAAATAATCCACTAATTCTGAATTTATCAAAATGTATTAAAAAGAACACTAGTCTCAAGGACATTAACTGGTATAATGTGGAAAAAAAATGGGGGTTCTTTGGCCAAATGAACTGGGGGTAGCAAGGTTAAAAACAGTAAACAGATTTCTTTTCTGCAGTATTTCCTAGACCTTTCAATATATTGATAATCAATACGAATCTCCAATAAGGAATATAACGTGTATTTTATTTAAATGTTTCTAACCAAAGAACCCTTTGTCAGGTCACTGAATCACTCAGGACTAACATTCTGAAGAGCATGCTTTGAGAAATGCTGATGGAACAGCCCTCCTCCACACTTTATGCTTCCCTACTGCCCTAATTTAGGCCCTGTCATCTCTCACCTGGACAGCCTCCTCACTTAGCTCTCTGTCATCACTCTCTCTACAGTTTCTGCTGCCAGTTTTATTTTTCTAACAGAAAGATCTGATTATACCTCACCTCTTCCCCCACCTACAGCTTTGAAATCATCATGTCTTTCCATTAAACATAAGTTCAAATTCTAGGTCTACTATTATATTCCCTTCAAACTCTAGCCCACCCATCTTCCAAAATTTATTTCCTACCACATCTCTCCCTTCCCAAAATATATCATATTCTTACATCCTTCAGAGCTTTAATACATTTTGTTCCTGCGACTCAGAATGGCATCTTCTGTTTCCATCCTACTTCTCCTGAAAACCCAGTTCTAAAGAGATCTCTTCTGATAAATTTTCAGGAGAAATCTCTTCTGGCCTTTGGTTGGTTGCTCCTCAGTGTTTCCATAATGCTTCACACTCACCCTCTTACAGCAACTGTTACACTGTATAGTAAGAAATTACCCTGTGTTTATCCTCACCATTACTCTCTGAGCCTTTTAATTGCTGTTTCTCCAGCTCTTAACTTAGTGCCTGGCACAGAGCAGTCATTCTTTGTTGAATAGGAAAAATACAAATGAGTGTATGAATAAATAAACATCTTTAGAAATAACGTAAGAGGAAAAAAATAAGATGAGGCTGTGAAAGCTATACTAGAAATGTATTATAAGCAGTCATGTATTCAAGCCATTATTTTCAGGAAAACAATATCACTTTGCTTAAAGCGATCTCTAATTTACACCTACCATGTTACTGATAGAGGATAAACCTTTACAATTTCTTTTAAGGGAAAACTCTATAGCTTCCAAAAATCTTTTTAGTGTTTTGAGGAAACACGCTCACGAGTAAGTTGCCTATCCTATTGATCCTGCTCAAAAACAGAATTCAGGGCTATCGTCCATGGCTGCTTTAGCATCTGTGAAATAAACAGTCTCTGAGGATTTTCACTAGGAAGAAGATCACTTCTGGAAGACATGGCTAACAAGTTTTGTTCCCCTAAATTTCTCTTTCCCTTTAGAATGGGTTCATCTCAATTTCTGGTGGTGCCCAGAGATTAGCAGCTCTAATAATCAGGCCTCCCTACCTTTCATTGTTAAGATTTAAAGTTCAGGGAATTATTTGAAAAAGAAAATTCCATTACAGGCACATAAGAAACAAATAGTTTTGTCCGTGAGTTTGCTGAATTTCTTCACTCCACCAAAAACTTACCTTTTGTAATTAGATCTATGGGCCTGCATCTTTCTCTTCTACTAAAAATGTGTGGTTCCTTGAAGGAGATTCGTTGTGGGGGTTCCTGAAGATGCTCGCTTTTGGAAAG
Organism: Homo sapiens; assembly: GCF_000001405.40. Lineage (NCBI taxonomy): Eukaryota > Metazoa > Chordata > Mammalia > Primates > Hominidae > Homo > Homo sapiens. Next base: position 149,733,353 of record NC_000004.12, read on the forward strand.
CTCCTTGGGAAAGCAAATCCTTCTGAGTGCGGCCCGATGTTCTTGCACCACATCACGTGTTACCTTTTTGTCAATCTCCAAAGGTATGTATTTGCCAGATTTCGGTTTTTGGTGTTTCTTTCTAAAAACATTTATAGAAGTACCTTGAACTTTATTCTATGAATAAAACAAAAATAGATTTTGGCAAAATTTAATTTTAGTATGCATTATTTAATAAAGTTATATATTTTATTAATAAGTTCATGAAATTGCACCTCTAGTACATACATTTTACAAAGTACCTTGCTATATAAGACATTTACTCTAATGTAAATTACAAATGACAGTAACCAGCTAAATCAGATGTTATTCTATGTCACTCTCTAAAAGTCCTTCACAAGCATAAGGATTATATTCCCCTTTGAAAGAAATGTAAATTTTAAAATAGCAACTTTCTCCCCAAAGTGATATTTTTAATTACAGGTTTCAAGTCTACTGTAAAATAGGAGTTTTTCAAATAGACATGTAAGAATTAAATTATTTTCAACCATCTTTGAAGAACTTTCAGATGTCCATAAAATGCTAACATCCCCCAAATCTCTTCCTTTGCTGAACCAGAAATAACTGAACATACATGGAGGTAACCTCTCAAAAAGAGCATACTGGTAATACAACATACATTTCATATCCTTTAATCATAATTGCTTCTTTATTTTGACCACCTTGAACAACAGAGAAATAATACAGCTCCAGGTCTCTGACAGGTAATTATCCAAATAGCATAACTGTTCTACACACAGAGAGAGCTATAGTTCTTCCCTATTCCCCCAACAACACACACACACCCAAAAAAAAGGTTTAGAAAAATTCAAATTGTTGCTGACTCAAAAGGTCAATAAGGAGGTTTTAGTGTGCTAGTATTACATTTTTCCAGGCAACCGAAGATGGAACATTGGACTGTTATTATTAGATAAAAATTTAAACAGGTCAAGTTTCTAAGGCACATCTGTCTAACTCTGAAGACCGTGAAACATTCATCCCATGTTCCCACCAGTGAAATTAATATAATTGAAAATCATTTTAAATTGGTTAGAGGAAAAATTAGTTAAGCAATGCGTACAATGTTGATTACATGATTAAAAGTATGTATGGCCAGTCTTGGCATAAAGGACCATTCAAAAGAAACATAAGTAAAAATTAGAATCCTCCTCCCCATCTGCAAGAAATATTGAAAAATATTTAAAAGCTTACTTAAAATTTTGTTTAAAAAAATTTTTAAGTATTTAGCAGGGGACTAGGATCATTTGACACACAGTAAACCATCCGAAGTTACCCTCCCCTCACCTGTCTTCCCAAAGGCCCAACGGTCACAATAGTTGCCCCTTCCCCAAATTTGCTACCTCCTCTATAGATGCTCTCCTCCAAAATGTCACCCTGTGCTGACCCTCCTCTGTCTCTTTGTTATCCCTTTCCCTTTCACTCCTTCTTCTCACTTTCGAAATATATGCCATTCAGCAAATATTTATTGAGCCAGGAACAATCATTATTGCTAGAGATACAGCATTCAAAAAATATTCTATGCCCTCAAGGATCTATCAGACCAGCAAACGGACAATTTTAATGCAAAAAGATACATGGAATATAATGTATCATGCTAAGGTAATCATGCTAAGGGTATAGAAGAGACTCATCTCACAATTTATTTTCTAGTTTAGCTTCGACTAAACAGCATTTAAAGGGATATTTATGTGACATGATAAATCCAATTATTTATGTTAAAATTCTTCAAAAAAAATTTAAATTGTATTAAATGTACAAATTAAACACATTTGTATAATTAAAATTCATACAACTAAAAAATCTTATTTTAAAATGTCATTTGAAATCAATTTTTATAGCTAGTGAGCATTTCATTTTTCTCTTCAATTCTATTCTCTTTTCTATTTATTCTATCATATCTTAGGGTTTATGCAATCCTTTGGGAGAATCCTTGTAGTATGCAAAAATTTTAAAATGTAACATTAGATAAATGCAAAGGACTAACCTCATTTATTTTCTCATAATGTTGGGCAATGAGAGTTTTTGCTTCTTGAAAAAAGTCTTGCTTGGTGATCTCTAATGTAGGACCTAATATACAAACAGAGAAACATTTTTTAAGCAGTTAATGTGAAAGTAAATTTTACAAGTTGACATTATAAAAGGAAGCAAAAGAAATACAATGATCTCTTAACATAATATTTTGCTTTTAAGAAGAAATATAAGGTTGTAATGGTCAGGTGATAAGATAGGTTATCCTAAGTTACTTCAGTCCAGAAAAAACAAAGAAAATATACAAAACAGAAACATCCTTCAGTTCTGAAAGTCCTTTAAATGTTACTGTATAGAAGATATAACAACATGTTTTGGGCACAAAAGTTATTAACAAGTCTGTGTTTTCCATACTTGATGACTAATGTATGAAGCTGTACATTTCCTCAAGAGTATTTACCTTCCAACTTGTTGATAAAATTATAACTGTAAAATAAAATACCTCAATAAATTTATTAAATAGAAGCAGCACTGAAATTCAAAAACACATGTCTATGGATTTTTCTAAGTTTCTTAATTTCTTTCGACTTTTTTTTTTTTTTTTGTGAGACAGAGTCTCCCTCTGTTGCCCAATCTGGAGTACAGTTGCACAATTCTGGCTCTGTGCAACCTCTGCTTTCCAGGCTCAAGCAATCCTCCCACCTCAGCCTTCTGAGTATCTGGGATTACAGGCGTGCACCACCACATCCAGCTAATTTTTGTACTTATTGTAGAGATGGGGTTTCACCATGCTGCCCAGGCTGGTCTCGAACTCCAGGGCTCAAGCAATCTACCTGCCTTGGCCTCCCAAAGTGCTGGGATTACAGGTGTGACCGAAAGCACCCAGCCTAAGTTTCTTAATTTCTTTTAACCAGGGTTATGTATACAATTCTACAGCATGTAGACTACATCATTCTCATTCAGCCTTGTCTAAGTTTTCCTCTTTACATATTTTCTTTATTATTAGCTGATTGTGTGCTTGCTTCAGCAGCACAAATACTAAAAATGGAATTGTATCAGTGGATCCTGACACTTATAAGTGTTTCTTGGCTTCCTCCTCTTAACTCAAACTCAGCAAAATTTAAATATATTACCTATTCAAAGTCTGGCCAGTGGGCTCTCTGTTTTTATAACTCTATCTCTATTAGTACTCTTACTATGAAGGTTTTCTCTACTCTTCACCCACTCAAATTTTAAGCAATTAAAAACTCAATCTTCATGTGAATCAAAACTATAATGAGATACCACTACACTCACCAAAACGGCTAAAATTGAAAAGACTGATAACACCAAGTGTTGATGAGGCTGTAGAGCTACTGGAACCCTCAAGTATTGCTGGTGGAAATGTAAAATAGCATAATCAGTTTGGAAAAGGTATGGCAATCTCTTTTAAAGCTAAATATACACCCATCCTACAACCCAGCAATTCCAATCCTAGGTATTTACCAGAGAGAATGAAAATGTATGTTTACAAAAGATTTGTACAAAAATGTTTACAGTAGCTTTACTCATAATAATTCTAAATTGAAAACAGCCCAGATATGTAACAACAGAAGAGTTTGTAAACTGTGGTTATATGTGTACAATAAACTACTACTTAGCAATAAAAAGAGGTACTGACATGTACACCACTACGGATAAATTTCAAAAATATTATGCCAAGTTAAAGCAGACTTACACAAAAAAGCACATGCTATATGGTTCCACTTATACAAAGTTCTAGAACAGGTAAAACTAATCTATGGTGGAAAAAACAAAACAGTTATTATTCTGTGGGAAGGTATGATGGATTAACTGAGAAGAGACATGAAGGAAATTTCTGGAGTGATGGGAATGTTCTGTATTTTGATAGGAATTTGGATTATACAGGCATATATTATCATTAGTGTACTCAATGTACACCTAAGATTTGTGCATTTCATTGTATGTACATTTTACATCAAAAGAAGAAAAACTATAAAGAAATAATTAATTCTAACTAATGATATGCATGTTGATTGATGGATGGGTATGTGACAAATCAAGTACAGTAAAATATTAATGGTAAGAACTTGGTAGTAAGTATATGGGCATTGATTCGAAATTCTTTCAAGTTTGCTGTGTGTTTGAAAATTTCATAATAAATTATTGAAGGCCACACTCTCTCTTTATTCTTGCACAAAATATCTCCTTGCTTTTCACCACGTAGACTCACAGGCCACAGGTAGCTGTTACCTTAGGGTAATGAGGTCCTGAGGAATGGAGCCCGGTTCACATTAATTTTCCAATTCAAGCCAAAAGAAGCACTGTCCTCACACGGAAAGGGCAAGAGTTCTGGAATTAAAACTGTTTCATCAAATTTCAACCAAAATCCAATTTTGCTTTGAGGAGGCCTCTAGCCAGAGCATTTACTTCATGGAGGAAAGCCAGCAAGCTATTCCTAGGTGTGACTTCACAACCTGCCCTCCTTTTCCTTCTCTCATGACAGTCCTTTCCTCTTTTAATTCCCTTTTTCTGACTAATCAAATATCCCTTACAATTACTTTAATTACAATCACTTATAATTACAACATTGTCATGTGCATGACACATGACAAGCAATATAATTTATTAATATATTAAGTCACTGGTTTTTTGTTGTTGTTCAAAATGTAGCTTTGTGGAAACCATCATGTCTTATTTCAGACAAGACCTTAGAGATGTTCTAGTCTTCATTTATAGGCAAATTCTGAGAAGCAGAGACCTGACAGCCTGCTGAAGTCACACAGCAGTGCTGCGGCTCTGCACAGGCACTGTGCTCCTGAGTTCCTTGCTGCTCTTTTCTACAAATGTACTGCTTTTCCCAGTGCCATGTACACCTCATGAGTACTGGAAATTCCTCTGAAACTTGGCTGGTCACACTGGTGAGATACGCACGTTTCCCTGACACTTGCATTTTAAGCCAGCAATCCTGCCCCTTGTTGTCATTTAATGTGCTGATGCAGCTGTTTCGACTTCCCCCTTTGTAACTAGAATTAGCTTTCGACAGAGGAGTTAAATTCCCAAAGTAGCATTTTCTTCCTTGCTGGGCTCTTTGTTGATTAGTCCCTGATTTCCCCTGTCCACAAGTGCCACCCATCACCTGTGGACCGTGGAGAAACTATATGCGCTCTAGTAGCGCTAATGGCCTTGCTGGGGCCAGAAAGCAGATCTTGACATATCAAGGTATTGTCACAGCATACCCTTACAGTCAGGCCATGAGATTACTGAGCAGAACAAGGCCTGAGACTGTTCATAAAGGAGCAGAGAAAGGCAGCCAAGGTCAGAAAGCAGCAATTTCACATAGATCCTGAAATGGCTCCAATGAAGTCATGTGGACATTGACTTCCAGCTGGCAGTCCTGAGCCCTTGTTGTCATTTGAGGCACTGAGGTAGCTGTTCTGATTTTCTACCATCACTAAAAAGTGGCCCTTGAACAAGAGTGAAATTCACAAGATAGCACAAGATAACTCATACCTCAATGCCTTAGAAAAGACAATGCTAGCATCATTTATTTTTATAATTTCCAAGGACATGTATCTATCCCACAAATGAGTCTAAAAATTACAAGAAATCAAACAACATTTTTATTAAAGCTCCATCTAGTCAATAATCTTTGAGGCTTCTCTTTTCTTTGTTCATAATGGGGTAAGAATATAAGCTTGCATCTTTTACACATTCAAGTGCACTTCACCTATTATTTTGCGGAAGTTGCCAAGGTCTGTTCCTTCTTTATTATGAAAACTATACTTATAACTTAATTTGTAAATACATATTGATAGTATATAGAATGATTTTTAAGAGCTCTTATTCCTGAGTCACACTATTTTGTGCTTGAATTCCAGTTTGCTCATGAACCTTATTGTCTTAAGCCTTATTTTTCTTATTTGTAAACAGAGGATAATAATAATATATGTCACAGAGATTTGTCTGAAGATTAACTTAAACACTGTTACAAAACAGCACAGCACCTAACATATAAGCTTTCAATAAATGTGAGAAATTGTATTATTTTTGAGATTATTGCATTACCATCATTGGGCTAAACTTTTCCCCAACAGTGTTTATATAATTTTTTTTTTTTTTTTAGTCAACCCTCATTTCTTCAGAATCACAAAGATAACTTCCTAATGCAGTTTGGGTAAATTGTCTTATTAAAATTCCTTTTTATCCAAAACTAACTAATATGTTTGCAGTTAATAAAATATTTTCATACATAGGATTCTTCATGTTATTAAAGTTCCCAAAAGCAATAGTAAGTCATTACAAGTAATAATAAATGTTTTGCAATAAAGTTCATGAAGAGGTTGAAATGGTCATATTAAACTCATCTAAGACATGAGTGCAAATACTAACATTCCTATAGGAAAAAAAATATGAGTAGCTCTAATCCCAAATATTTCACTAGCCTAAAACATTTTCACACATTTATCTTTTAAAAAAAAACCTCATTTTTCATATATCATCAGCTTAACACAATTGTGATGACGGTTCATAAAACCAGATTTCTCTACTACTTTAGAGGTTCTACATAGTTGCTCCAGTGAGCCTCTGAAGTGAAGATACAAAAAGAAAATCTAGTTATGGAAACTATGACAGAGAATAAGCCATCTCTTAATTAGAATTGTTGAGTAAGTATTTTCTGTATCCGAAAAGACCCAGGGGCTTAAAAACATTTGCTTTTCATAACGATAATAAAAACAACTGGCCATACTCAGAGGGTTTACATCCTTCCCATTAATAGGCTACATTCTTCAGAGAGGCTTCACAAAATTTTAGTTAAAAGATAATCTTAAGCAAAGATGTGTGGCCACATGGCTAAGGCCAACCCTGTGTATGTAATCAGAGTAAATGCCTGACAGGTGTAACAAAAGCCCCACCTCAGACACAATGGGAGTCAGTTTAGCACACATTTTTTAAGTACCTACTAAGTGCTAGATGCTGTTTTGATGCTAAATGTGCTAAAATAAGTAAGACTAGCTATTTCTGTCTTCCAAGTGCTTAAGAGTCTAGTGCTAGAAAAAATGTGTAAATAAATGCCTTGACAGTCAGTTAAGATAGGCACTGTGATAGAAGCCAACATAAACCACCAACACCCCCTACCGCTAGCGCACTAATGTATGAATTTCCCTTTAAAAAGATAAAGCTTTACACTGTATTATTGAAAATAATATTGAAAACAGAAATACTCCAAGAGAAATAAGTGAATGGAAGCCAGGCTAAGGCAGTGGTTTTAAATATGTGCTTCATTAATTTCATGTGCCTTGGGGGTGCTTCCTTCTTTCAATCAGAGGCTCAGATCTTATCTGTTTTACATATTTGAGCTCTTCCTAAGTTTTATTTTGCAGAATTTCTTTGCTGAAAAGTAAACATACAACAGCTAAGCAAAAAACAAATAAAGGTCTGAATAACAGTGCCTCTGTGGAAAGAACCTGCTTGTAAACAGGTTCAGATGGAGAGAAGGATTAGAGTGCCAAGAAGTGGAGAGAAGCTGTAGAGGGGAGAAGCTGAAGAGGAGAGAAGCTGGAATTAAGGCCATCAGTTCTAGGGTAAAGAGTTATGGAGCTGGAAAGTAAATAGAAGCTCTTTGGACAAAAACTTCAAATACAATAATTTATATTAATTTCATTACATGTAAGTGAAGAAAACATAAATTATTTCTAATTTATTCCTAAAAAGAGTTAAAGAACCAAATGAAACCCAAATTTCAAGTGGCATCTGGTTATCATCTCCTAAAACACATATTCAACATTTTTTTCCGTAATACATTCTGCATTAAGACTCAACTCTTCAGTTCTAAATTAAAGGCACTCTGTTGAGTTGTCTCTTACTGACTTACTTTCCCCCTCCCTTATTCTCTGGTCTTCTTTAACAAAGTATCCTGCCTTATTTGCACCAAGAAATGCTAATAAGTTTCATATATACCTCAGACATATCTTACAGGGTACTGCCCAAAAATCTTTCTATGTTAATATTTCTCAGACAGTGGTCAGGTTACTAAGGAGATGTAGGGAAATGCCAGGCTCATAGCATCAAGGTCATGTGGGCATGACCTAAAGCAAAATGGAACTAGAGAATATTCCTCCTCCACTTCCTGGATCTTCCACCCTTTCTGACCTTCCCATCTTTAAAAGTGTTCTGTGTTATCCACATAAAAAGAGAGTTAAAGTGATCATCACAGAGCTCTATTGGCAGCCCTGGGCAGATGCTTGCTGGCCTGTATCATACACTGTCAGGGGTAACAGGAGCCAAGAGGAAGTAGCAGAACAGTAATAACCTCAGCTCTATGTGCGGCACTATATGTTAGGATTGCTTGTATTTGCTGCCAAGTCTAGATTAACTCTAAAAGAAATATAATGTGTAATTAATAATAATGTATGGTATACCTGAAAGTTGCTGAGAGAAATCTTAAGTAGTCTCATCACACCAGAAAAAAAGCTAACTATGTGAAGTAATGGATATTATAATTAGCTCGATAGAGGTAATAATTTTACAATGTGTATACATGTTAACACGCACATTGCACACCTTTATATTTAATTTTTATTTGTGAATTGTACCTCAATAAAGCTAGAAGATTATACAGTGTGAACTGAATATGTAATTTACATGTAATTTAAATTTTTCTGGTAGACATACTAAAAAAGGTGAAATTAATTTGTGTAACATAATTTTTATAGAATATTTTATTTAAATAAAATACATCTAAATATTACCACTTCAACATTAATCAATATTTAAAATGAATTAGATATTTTACATTCTTTTTTGTTCTATCTTCGAAACTCTATATGTATTTTGTTTGTACTTACATACATCACAACTCACATGCTAAATTTTTATCAGAACTACTTAATCTGTATTTACATTTTATAAAATCATCACTTGAAAAAATAGATTTATATGCCCAAATTTGTTCCAAACATGCTTAAAGGTTTTCCAATAACTGAATTATCAGTTTTTAAGTTTAAATTAAAATTCATTAAATTTAAATTAAATATTCAGTTCCTTAGTTTCACCAGCCACATTTCAAGGACTGAATAGCCCACATGTGACAAGTGGATACCATATGGGACAGCACAATAAGTTAAAAAGATCTCTCAAAAGTTGGTTATTTTTAAATAAAGGGAATGGAATAAATCCTTTCAAGATGTGCCAATAAGTGTAGTGCTCTGAGGGTCACTAATTAATAGAAAAGAGTGGTTAAAACAGTTGGAGTGTTATGACTTGTACTATGTTAGGTAAGCACAGATACTCACATTTTGCTTTTTCAGGCATAGCCTCTTCAGTAGTCATGAGGGGCAGTTAGAATGATCTTCTTTTTTAAAGTGTGAGCTCCAAGTCCTTAAACACAGTTACATTAAGTAATTCAGTGATGATAAATATTTATTTTTAGCTATTTCTTTTGCTCACTCATAGGTAAATAGGGTGAATGATTAAAACTTTTTATATGTCATTTCTGTGCTCTATAACCTTCAATGCCTTCCCCTCCAAAACACAGTAACAATAGCTAGCATTGGGTAGGGCTCTGCAGTTTATCGAGTACTCATATACACATTGCCTTACTGGGTCTAGGCAACCTGATAAGAACTATTATTATGAATATTTGGCAGATGTGGAAATTGGAGCTTAGAGAAGTAAAATAGCTTGTCAAGGTAAGAAGCTATGTAGTGGCATGTGCAAAACTCAAAAGATGTTTGGGCTCAAGACCCTATGCAGGTCTCTCCGATTTCCTACTACTTTCTACTACTTGCTTTCTTACTACTTTCAACTAATATCCAGTTAATACCTGGCACATACCTTATACACTCCTGCCTTCAGCTTAGGTTTATGCCAGCCTTCCACTCAGAATGCCTTGACCTCTCATCTATATTTATTTATATCCTACCTGCCCTCAAAGCCTAGGTTCAAATCCTACCTCTTCCATGACCACCCAGCCTCTTTTCCTGTGATCTGTTCCTCTCTTAAATACAGTAGTTATGTTGTCCATGCCTCTCCCTAGAAACTTAACATAAGCTGTCTGTGTAAGGGGCTAAAAACACAGAGTGATCGATATATACTATATATCTATATTCCCAATTTTAGTCCTATACATTCCCAGTTAGACTCCAAATGCCTTGAAAACAAAACTATACTTTATACCAGTAGTTCTCAATGCTGGATGAATATCAGAATCACCTAAGGAGTTTTTAAATATATGTCTAGAGTGGGACCTAGGCATCTGGCATTTTTGAAAGTTTCCCAGAATATTTAAATGTTCAGTTAGAGGAATGAAGTCTGCCTTGTGCCTCATCCTTCATGGTTCCCAGCTCAGTGCATTGCATTCTAGAGGTGCTCAACAAAGGGCTGATTAATGGGTTCATTAGCTGAGCCCTTCTACATTTGACATTATCATTACTTCAAAAGCATTATCCAAAATGCATCAAATGTTACCTCTATATCCAAGGAGTCAGTTACACCAGTGCATACTACTACATGCTCAAATGGCTTTACAATTAGAAATGGGAATATTAAATGCTTTAGCAGAGTTCCATGGAGACCCTTGTTCTAAGATTCTATGTATAATTGTTCAGTTGGCAGACTCGACTAACAAACTATGAGTTCAGAATTCAAAACCTATTAAATAATTTGGTAATTATTTCAGTAAATCTGTAAGCCAGCTTTGCCCTATGAAAGTCAGGACCCTGTAGCCTCATGCTCTTAGATAAAAGGCTACAACACTTTTCCTCAGCTTCTACCCAGAGCGGGGAAAATACCATTGCAGGTACAGTTTTAAAATAGCAAATCTGGAACATCCAAAAATGATTAATTCTCAAATTGTCAGCATCATCTCATGGGCTAGAGCACAGAACATGTACCTTGTCTGCCTAGTTCTGCAAATGAACTGGGATAAATTAAAATACTGCATCTCCCTCAGCAATTAACAATCAGAACTCATCTTCTGGCCTGGTTTAACTACACTGTCTTCTTTAAGTATAAGAAGGAAATAAAAATGTTTTGTGCTCCATCATTTTCTTGTTTTAATTTCCACAGAAATGGACTCTTCTCTGGGTCTGTTGGCTCCTCCACCTTAATTCAGTGTGCCAGGAGTGTCAGCCTGCATTAAATTGGCTGGAAAGCAAGACATCCCACTGTCCTTTTAATGCAAAAAACTAGCCAAGCATCCTAAGGGGTGCTGGCATGGTAATGTCCCTGCAAACTTGAGGTGATGAGGGAGGACTCTGAGACAGGAGCTGGGGGTGTAGAACGGCCAGGAAGGATGGAATTGCTTAGAGATGGGCACAATGACACAAAATATCAGCAAATGGGGCCCCTCTCCACTTTAAGTCTCCAGCAGACAGTTACGAGATGCTGAGTCCTTCCTAATGCATCCATCAATTAATAAAAGCATATTTAGTGCCTGAGCTGTGCAAAGGACTTGCCATTTATTTCAGAAAAAAAAGCCAAAAACATAAATCAAATTTTAAATAAAGATGCAAACAACATGCAAAAAGTATGCCAGATGTCATAAGGAAATCTGTGAGCTTTGTGAAATAAGTGATATAAATCCGTGAGTACTATGAGTTCAAATGAAGACAACATCACCGAGGCCTGAGAAGGTGACATAAAAGAGAGTTCAAGAAGAACTGAGCTACTTACACCTGGAAGGGTGAGCACAGGGTTAATCAGAACCAAATGCTGGCCAGTACACCCCTGTGGTACTGAATACCAGTCCTGAGTGGATCAGAATGCCTAACTTAAGAGCAGAGAAGACAGAGAGGTGAGAGAAATAGTACAAGCAAAGGCATGGAGGTGAGAATACTCGTAGTCTGGGGGACATCAAGTTGTGTGTCTGTTTGATTTTAGCAGAGGGCTACATTTTATGCTGCTGAAATGGTCAAAGAACTATTGAAAGTTTTTGAACAGGGCATTGACATAACCAACGTTCTAGAATGTAACTTCCATAAAGGCAAAGATTCTGTTTTCCTCTCTGCAACAAGCCTTGAACAAGGCTTGGTATTTGGAAGGATCTCAAAAAGCATTTGCTATTTGTATAATCAGTAATTATGGCAACAGCATACTGGACAAGGATGACCTACCTTCTCACATTTCCTTCAGCACATTTGTGAAAAAGTCCTCTCACCCTTTCTTTTACAGTAGATGCAACTTAAGGCTCTCTGAAACGGTTACAGGAATGCTAAGGATTTCTAATTCCATTTCTACATGGATGAAAGACAAACAGAAGTAGAAACTATTTCCCTACCTTATCTTCTTAGCTTGACATTCCTAAAGTAGATGACTGATAAGACTTTAAGGCTGGGTGCAGTGGCTCATTACTAAAATCCCAGAACTTTGGGAAGCTGAGGCAGAACAATTGCTTGAGCCCAGGTGTTCAACACAAGTCTGGGCAACATGGTCAAACCCCTTCTCAACAAAGAATACAAAAATTAGCTGGGTGGGGTGCATTCATATAGTCCCAGCTACTCTACTGGAGGCTGAGGTGGGAGGATCAGTTGAGCCTGGGAGGTCAAGGCTGCAGTGAGCCGTGATCGTGCCACTGCATTCCAGCCTGGGCAACAGAGTGAGACCCTGTCTCAAAGAAAAGAAAAAGACAAGACAAGCCAAGGCTTTATCATGGCTCTTATAATTCAGTATTCTTTTGGCAAAAAAAAAAAAAAGCCTTATCGTAATTAGCAGGATGCAGGGAAACAAGCCATGCTCCAGGGATCTGGAAAGGTAGTTTCAGCAGTTGATATTATGGCAAATGGAAGTCCTCATTTACTACCCCAAACTTTCTCCCCACTGTCCCTCCACCTCAATCCTCCTAACCCTGAATCATACTTTCACCCTTCCCCATTTCTCTGTCTTAGAAATTGTACCTATATCTACCTAGTTGCTCAAGCCATAAATCTTTTATTTCTCCTATATTTTTGTCTACCACATCCAATTCATCAAGTCTTCTAGGTTTTTAACTTAAAAATACATCTGCTTCTCCCCATCTTAATCTCCCAGCCACAATCATTTCATTCTGGGACTGCTGAAATAGCTTCTTAACTGCTCTCCCAATTTCCTCTCTTTCTCTGCCAATTCATTCTCCACACAGCAGGAGTGATCTTAATTGTGTATCAGATCATATTATTTCCCTTCCATGGTTTCTGAACTTCATTTAAAATAAAACGTAATCTCTTGCCCTGAGCTCTTCTCTCTTATGCAACTGAGTATATATGGGTGATAAGCATAGTACTGCCATTCCACAACTCCACACAGAACTGAGCCAGAAGGCTTGGTTTGACTTCTCTTGGACTTAGTTTTCTCATTTACAAGGTAAAATTTTTGGGCAAGAAGATCTCTAAGACCCCATCAGTTTCTAAAACACTATTATTCCATTGCTTTTGTGTACTATGCTAAAAAATAGTTGGCTCCAAATCCAAGAAATCAACTGCATGGGCAAGAGTTCGTGCCTCCCTCCTGACCTTCTCTACTTCACTCTGCGCTCTGTAACTCTGGAGAAGAAAACCAAAAAAAAGGAGTCTAGACCAGGCCACTTCTGGTCATGTCCCTAGTTGCAGGCCTCATCAGGTGTCTCTCAAGCCTAGGCCACTAGGACCTCCCTCCCAGCTTTTGTCCTAGTCACCCTTCTCTGATAAGTATAAGCCCCCTTCCACTTTTCCTCTACTAAGTCAACAAGGACCTTTAGGTTATTTTCTGGATTTTCTTTCTAACTGACTTCTGTCAAGTCTCCTGGTGTCTCTGACCAAATCATCAGATCTGCTAGCACCAAACAATAGGAATAAGAAAAGAGAAAGGAGAGCAGGTAAAGAAAACCAAACAGAACAAGTTCCAATGAGGGCCAATATAACAGGACAAATATTAGGCATCTAAAATGTGCAAAGGTATACAGTCATTGCTCTGTATATGAAGGATCGATTCCAAGACCCCTGTAGATGTCAAAATCTGCAGATGCTCAAGTCCCTTATGTAAAATGCCATAGTATTTGCATATAACCTATGCACACCCTCCCATATAGTTTAAATCATCTCTAGATTATTTATAATGCCTAATGCAATGTAAATGCTATGCAAGTAGTTCTAACACCATATTGTTTAGGAAATAATGACAAGAAAAAAGTCTGCACATTCAGTACAGACACAATTGTCCATTTTTAAAAAATATTTTCAATCCATGTTTAGTTGAATCTACATATGTGGAATCCACGGATACAGAGGTCCAACTACAGTAGATGATAGGAGAACAAGAAATTTATAATTACATAATTAAACTATAATCCAAACTTGTGAGAGGGCCATAAAATGAGTTGGAAAGAAGATACTCTATGAATTTATGATTAATATCAGGCTAGCTAGGAACGCAGGGACCACATGGAACAGTGGCAAGCCCATGAAATCATACTCCTTTCCTGATGCAGAAACCTTCCTCTAAATTTCTAATTAATTCAGGTTAATATATTACCCAGAACCAGGAAGTGGGAAGGAAATAATATAAATGAATCATTAGGATATCACTTTAGCTAACACAAAGCTCAGAGTCTAGGAGCACTGTGATGAGAGCAAACTTGGATTTCAATCCTGATTCTGCCATTGCCAAAGTGATCTGAAGCAAACCAATTAACCTCTCTGAATCCTACCTCGTCTAGAAGCAAAAGATTTAAAATAGACCCATAATATTAAAAATAGCAGCTTCAACTTATGTTTAAAGAAACTCTGTCTCAGAAGTCAATGAGAATAACAGGTGGAAAGCCTGGCTGCTCTGACTGAAGAGGATCTCATGGGCTTTCCCTGAACTGCCCATCACTCCCGACTACCTCCCACCCACCTTCAACCCCAGCACTCCAAGTTCAGAGGCACACCATCAATGACTTCAAAGGTACCTTCTGGATATAAGTTTTCACTATTTCATAAAATAGATATTATGTTCTATTCTTTTATGGGCATGCATGGACACTTACATTAATTAAGATATCTCAAATATTCCCAGCTTACATGAAATATTTAAATCTTTAAATCACAAAAAAGCAGTTATTAATACATTTCAGTTCTCAACTCATTAAAAAGGAGATGTTAAACTGAGAACACTCTCCCATTATACTTTAAAATTCTTACTTTTTTTGGCTAAAATACACTCTTTTTTTCACCTTTTGACTCTCTTAATGGGTAAAACCAACTATTCTGAGCCATATTCAACAAGCTATGGAGTTTTTCTGTGATCTTATTTTAGGATTTTGATACTGTTATGTATAAAATATGATTTGGCAATACATGGACATGTACATTGAAGGTCACTGAAGATCAAAGCTTACCAACAGATGATGGGCTGGGGTTGGTGAGACAAGACTATCATTCATAGTGGTTAGGTGGAGTAACTTGGGGGTAAAAAGGAAATGATCAATGTTAGATAGACCCATACTTGAGTAGAGATCAACTACTAGAATAAATCGAAATACTGAATTTTAGTCCATGTATCATCCACAATTATAAGCACAAATGTACCTTATAATATAAAGAACTTTTACAAATCAATGAAAAATACAGGCAGTTGAATATAAAAATAGGCAACAAAATGGGAAAGAAGCATGTGAAAAGACATTCATTCAAAACTCATTCATCACCCAGGAAACACAAATAAAACCACGACCATCACACTCCCAAAAGAATGGCTTCTTTAAAAATACCAAATGTTGAGACAGATATAGAACTACTGAAATATTCACACACTGCCTGTTGCAGTGTTAGTTGGTAGTCTTCAGGAAACCATTTGGTATTATCTTTAAAAATTGAATCCGTACCTAACCATGACCCATCCCTCAGACTCCCAACAGAAAGGCTTATAATGTATACCAAAAGGCACATATAAGAATGATCATAGCAGTGCTATTTGTAACAGCTAAAAACTAGAAGCAACCCAAATGTCCACTGACAGTAGAATACACAATTTGCATTTTATTTATACAATGGAATATTTCACATCAGTGAAAATAAACTGGTATATTCAAAGACATAGTATATTCTCACATATATTATTTTGAAAGAAGCCAGCATAATCAGGACACGGTCTATGTTTTTAATAATATAAAGTTCAAAAACAGGCCAAACTTACTAATGACAATAGGAAACAGGATAATAGAGAACTGTGAGGAAAGAGTGCAGGGTCTGAGGTGGGGGGCACAAGGAGGGCCTCTGGAATACCTTCCAGGGGGTAGGCATTTCTTTATCAGAGGGTGATTATAGAGATGTGTACACTTCGTCAATATTCATTGAGCTATACACAGGAATTGTGCACTTTTCTGATTATATGTTATAAATCAGTTACAATTTACTTAACAGTAATTATATATACTTTATTAATGTTTCAATATAACCTATTAGAACCCTGAAAATACTACCCTAGTCATTACAGGTGGTTCCATTTCTCTTCTTACACTCACTCAAAAGAAATATGAAGCATCAAGCTTTGGTAAAAGCCACCAAGATCTGTGCTGGATTGTAAGCCCCACCAGTGCAGGAACTAGCTGTTTAAATTTCTTTGTCTTCCATAAGCCTGAGCACATGACTAGCCAAGTAATAAAACTCTATAAAAACTGTTTATTTGAATTCCTGAAAAGAAGTCCTAAAGCATTAGCATTACAATCTTCTTTGTTTTCTCAGAGTTCCTAATATTTATTTGGAAATCCCGCTACTACTGAAATGTATGTATAACCTCTCATGAATTTTTGTAATGTGACTAATGGGCTTTGCTTATTTAATTTTTTCCCTCTTGTTATCTTGATAAAATTTTGATAGGAAGACCATAATTATCCAATGAGGAGCTAAGTACTTTGATACAAAGTGAACGGTAATGAAACACACACACACTCTCCAAAAACTGGTTTCAGAAAAGTTCACATTATTCCACATTTTTCTCACCTGAAATTCCCATTCAGTCATTGAATACAACCCTCATATGCCGAGAGAAAGGCAGAGGTGGGGGTAATAGAGTGACGCTTTCCTTGAACAAAATGTTAAAATATTAGAAGCTATGTCTTATTGTAAATTTTATTTCTGGGGGATTTCAGTTAGAAATGTATCAGTTAGGGCATATATGTCCAAGAACAAAAAAGGTAATAAGAGCCTTATTTCCTTAGAACACTACTATATCAGAAATGATTTCAAAATATTTTATGAAGAGTCCCGTATCAATACATGCAGTTATGCCTTCACTGATAATTGTGGCATGTTGTGACTCTGTTTTTCTTGTGATTTTCACAGATTAAAACAGTGCTGTTATAAAAGTACATTCTCCCAGTTATTAATCTCACATGCCTTAAATAGAAGCCATTAACATTTTATAAATAACAATAAAGAGAGAAAATTTATAAAGCATTCCCCGCTGAGATGTTTGGGACACTATGTTAACAGTTAAAGACAACAATGAAAACACCATAAAGTTAATTACAACAAATTAAATACACTAAATTAGAGGCCAAAACTGTTCAACTGTTCCAATAGAATTATGCTGTGCTTAGAAATAGTGATGTTAAAGAGCAAAATCTAGAAATTTGAGCAAATCATGAAATATTGCAAAATTCTGGCTTATATTTTCTGTTTTCTTTTTTATCTCTATAAACTTGTAAAAACTAGCTAATATTTACAAGGTCTGAAATGGTTTTGGAGCGTTTATATGTAAGGGATAGTTTCAAGGAAAACAACTTTAAAATTGAAAACAATCTTGGGAGTTGATTTGTTTAGCCTCTCATTTCACAGGAGAGGGAAGAGCAACATAGGGCTGTAAGTGATTTCAGCTTAACACTGGATTTGTGAATGAACTGGAACCAGAATATGGGTTTCCTGATTCCTGATGAAGCAAGAATCCCCCTGATGAAATTCCAGAATTTTACCCTCCGTGAATCTCCCCTCCGTGAATTCTTTCTTTACCTTCTGCTCTCTGACTGAACTCTCTTATTCTACTTTGTTCTAACAGAGACAGTATGA
Organism: Homo sapiens; assembly: GCF_000001405.40. Lineage (NCBI taxonomy): Eukaryota > Metazoa > Chordata > Mammalia > Primates > Hominidae > Homo > Homo sapiens. The sequence continues at coordinate 149,751,361 of NC_000004.12, forward strand.
CGTCATGGTGAAGAGCACAGACTTGCTCAGATGGGACTGGGTTCAAGCCCAGGCTTAATCACTTCCTAATCAAGGGCCTTAGGCCTTGAGTAATCAATTCATTCCAGTCTGCCTGAGATTTTCCCGGCTTTAAAACTTAAGGTCCTGAATCCTGGGAGCTGCACAGTCCCAGAAATTAGGACAGCAATTTCCTTAACCCTCATAGACTAAGCTCTTTCATCTGTAATAATCATTGTATAATCTTTATATCTCACAGGGCTACTGCAAGACCAAATGAATGAATGTCTAAAAACATTTATGACAGGTCTACACCTGGTCCACTCAGTAAGTACTCATTTCCATATCTGTTACTTCTTATTGGATCTTATTCTATATTGGAGATTTAAATTTGAGAGTAGTTTAAACCAGAGATGATATGTAAAACCAAGAGAGAGAATGAGTTCTCTGAGAAATAGGGCAAGCAGCAGACTCGGGGAGGGTGGGAATAGCATAGAAAGAACAGAGAACACAAAGAAGGATGGCGAGTGCCTCAAGGCCATATTCGTCAACATCATCAAAGAAGAAAAGAAGGGAATTCTAGGGACATGATATGCATGGAAGGACTTAGTAATAAACTCTACTCTTGAGTCTATAAATATGTGTGGATTCTGTAAAGAATTAAAACAGAAGAAAGAGAAAGGATAAGAGATCTATAGGTATAATATTTTGTGTACTACATGGGTGACTTTAGAAACATGAAGAGTCCCCAAGAAAGCAAATATTGTCCACAATTAACACATCATTGATGCATACAGTATCATGTCTAGCATTTACATCTTTCTAGAAAAAAAAAAATCCCTGGGAGGAATAACACATTGAGTAACTATTATCAAAGCACCTATCTTTTTCTCATCGATATCTGGCTGAAAGGCCAGGCACGGGTGGCTCACGCCTGTAATCCCAGCACTTTGGGAGGCTGAGGAAGGTGGATCACCTGAAGTCAGGAGTTCGAGACCAGCCTGGCCAACATGGTGAAACCCCATCTCTACTAAAAATACAAAAATTAGCCAGGCATGGTGGCAGGCACCTGTAATCCCAGCTACTCACAGGGCTGAGGCAGGAGAATTGCTTGAACCTGGGAGGCAGAGGTTCTAGTGAGCCGAGATCACACCACTGCACTCCAGCCTGGTAACAGAATGAGACTCTGTCTTAAAAAAAAAAAAAAAAATGGCTGAAAGCTTTTCCCTAAGGAATGAGACAGGCATTAATAGGGTAGGGATGTACTTTTAGTCATCTTCAAGGGCCAGAAATAGAAAATTAATACAGAGGGGTGATGGGACTGAAGCTGTGGATGCTGTTCCAGCTCCCAGAAGCCAAGTAGAGGCAACCTGGAGTTCAGCTCCAGTGTAGTAACCAGAACTCAGAGTAATTCTCATGTTAGGTAGGGGATCACAGCGAGGCTCTGCTAAAAATGACTAGCTAAAAAGAGGTAGAAATGCAACTTCCCACTGGTGCTTGATACAGGGGGTTATCACAAGCTCCATATTTGGAGAGGCAGAGGAGACAGACATGTCTTACCACCACGCCCTAGCCACACCAACACTGACTCAGAAACAGGTTTGAAATATCACTATCAAAGGGGCAGGAGCCCCAAGGAACCAATATAAGATCTGGTTCTGGACTGGGAACTTAGGGGCAACTACAAAACTGTGAAACAGAAAGTGGTGAGCATTAGAAGTAAATAAAACATAAAAATATAATAAAACTTACTACTCTACATAAGCCTGAAAATTATTATGAAATAACTTAAAAATTATTTAACATATGTCCAAAACTAACACTAGGAAAGACAGCCAATAAGATCAATAAGATCAACAATTGGAATAGTAATTTACTCCATAGGAAACGAAAACAATAAAAAAAATGAAAAAGAATTTAAAATAAGTAGGTTAAGACTCTACCAAGAGACAGAGGAGGAAACCATCTCTCTAAAAAAGAATATAAAAATATGAAACAAAATAGCCAGAAACAAAATAGAGATATGAAATAGAACAAATTGGAATCCTTTAAATAAAAATACGTTCTTTCAAAAACTGTATAAGCTTGATATACAGAATAAAATGTGGATTGGACACAGTATAAGAGAATCAGTGAGCTAGAAGATAACACTAAGGAGTTTCCCAGAAGTTGATGAAATGAGATAGAGAAAGAAAGATGAAATAACAATGAAAAGATATAAAGGAGGGTGTGGGGAGGGAGGAGTGTTAGCATTAGGAGATATACCTAATGTAAATGACAAGTTAATGGGTGCAGCACACCAACATGGCTCATGTATACATATGTAACAAACCTGCACGTTGTGCCCATGTACCCTAGAACTTAAAGTATAATAAAAAATAAAATAAAAACACTGAGACCAAAAAAAAAAAGATATAAAGGAAAAACTGAAAGATTCCAACATGTGTATAAAGGAAGCTCAGGGGAGGGGGGTGGGAAATGGAGGAAAAACAATATTTGAAGTATCGTATAGAAAAATGACATCAATCTAGAGATTAAAAGTACATTCCAGATGCCAAGAAAGAATAAAAATAAATCCACACCCAGACACTTCCTAGTGAGTATCAGAAATGAAGAAAAAAAAAGAATCATCTAAGCTGATTATCTCCAATTTTTCTCTTCCCATTCTCTTTTGAACTGGCTCTCACCAGACTTTTGCCCTTGCTACTTTAAACTGCTTCTAGTGAACTCTGTGACTACTAAGAGCCCCCTAAAGAACTTATTACCCAGCTGCTAGCAATGCTACCAGATTATAGTCCACAGCTTTGCCCTTCAGAATTGCCCTGTCTGAGGAGTCACACAGTTACCTTACAGGGCAGTCCAATATCAGTGACTAGTCAACTAGGATTTATGCAGGCTCAGATAACTTGTCCCAACTCAGGACAACTCTGAAGGGTCAACTCAACATTAAAGCCCCTCCCCGCCCCGGGGAGTCTTCGCTAGACTGCATCACAGCTCAATTTCTCCCTCTGACAATTCCTGCTTTCTTCCCTTTCGAAATCCAGAGATGGCTATTTCAAGAGCACTAATTAACAAACATCTCTCTCATCCTCCATGTCAGAGGGTCTTTCTGGGGAATGCAACCTGCCATTCTTTGTCAAAGTCGCCAATAACTTTCATGCTGTTAAATCTAATTGTCAATCTTAGTCCTCATCTTAGCCGACCTGTTAACAGCATTTTATGTATTTTATCACTGTCTCCTTCTTGAAATATTTTCTTCATTTAGCTTCCAGGGATTTCCAGTGTCCTAGATTTTCTGTTACCTTCTCTTACTTCCTTCTCAGTCTCTTATGCTAGTTCCTCCTCATCTCACTGACCTCAGCATATTGGAATGTCCCAAGGCTCAGGCCTTGAATCTCTTTTCTACCACATACGTTTATTTTGTGATTTAGTCCTGGCTCATGGCTTTCAATACCATCTCTATATTGATAACTGGCAAATAGATATTTTTATCCTGGGCCTCTCCCCTTGTCTATCTCACATCTTCATTCGGATGTCACCAAACCATCTCAAATTTTACACATCAAAACTGAGTTCCTGATCCTATTCTGATGATTTCTCCCTCAGCAAATGACATCTCCACTCTTCCAGTTACTGAGGCCAGACAATCATCTTTGGCTCTTCTCTGTTTTGTACATTCTACGTCCTATTCATTAGCAAATCCTGTCAGCTCTACCTTCAAAATATATTCAGAAGCTGATAGCTTCGCAACACCTTTACTATTAACACTCTAGCTGAAACCACTATTCTCTCTTACCTGAATTATCAGAATAGCCTCCTAAGTGGCCTAGTTCTACTTCCTGCCCCTATCCATGACCTACTCCCAACCCAGCAACCAGAGTTATTCAAATAAAACATAGGTCAGACAACATCCTCCATTCAAAAGCTACTGATGCCTTCCAGTAACAATGGAGTAAATATAGAAGTCACCATGTCCCCACACACCCCTACATTATCTGTGGCTAGCTGACCTCATTTTCCCTCCAGCCCCTCAATCCCTCTCCTGGAGCCAAACAGCTTTCTTTCCCAGCTGCTCTGGTCAGACCAGGATTGCCCCCACCTGAAGATATTTGCATTTGCTACCTTATTTGCCTGAAATGTTCTTTTGTCAGATTCACAAGGTACCAACCCTTCACTTCTCCCAGGTGTATACTTAAACACACCTTCTCCATGAGGCCTTCACCAGCCACCCATTCACGATTGCAACCCTCCCTAAATCCCTCCTGATTTATTTTCTTCTTTACACTAATACTATTTAACATACAATATATAAAATACTCATTTATTATTCATCTCTACATGCAGAGACTGCTAGCTGATTCCCAAATGTATTTTCTCTTCCTCCTGGACCCATAGCTGGACTACTTTTTCCAGGTGCACTTGAAGTTGAAGTATGGCAAGTGACTTAGTTCTGGCCACAAGAAAAAATGTGGTCAAAATAAGTGCCCCTTGTAAGCCTGGTGCCTAAATACCCGCCATGCAATCCTCTATGCTCTTTCCCCTCCCTGCCTGCTAGAATGGAGGTGACTCTAGGACACCATTGGTACCAAAGTCCAAATGTAAAAGATAGCAGAGTCACATAGCAGAATAAGAAGGCTGGGTCTTTTAATAATTGTTTGGAGGAGAGCTGTCTAACTGGGACAGTTTGATGAATAAAAAATAAAATCTCAAGTAATCAAGCTACTGATAATTAGGAGTTTAATTTATTATAGCATCTAGCTTTATCTTAGCTTATATATTCACTCCCTAGACTGCAAGGTTAATGAATGCCAGGAATTTTTACTGCTTTGTTCACTGATGTATACCCCCCGCCGTGCCTACAACACTGACTGGAAATCAATAAATATTTGAAGAATAATGAATAAAAAACTTAAATTCTCACATAGAAAAAAGATAGGCTATCTAGAAAAGGATGGCAACTTTGATAAAAGAACTCTTGACAGCAATGATAATTAACAGAAGACAATGTTTTAAAACATCTGAGGGAAAATACAAATAAATATAAAATTCTAAATCAATCTAAACTGTCATGCAAAATTGAGAACAAAACAAAGACTTTCCAAAATACTAAGTCTAAGAAATCATACAACACACCCAAACATATAGATCCTCAAAAGTGCTACTAAAAAATAAGCTTCACAGGAAGAAGAAAATGAACCCAAAAGAATGAATGGAACACAAGAAAAAACAAGTAAGCCCAGAAATTAATATTTACAAATATGCTTATAAATATGTTTATGTTTATAAATTTAAACAGCTATTACTTACAAAAATTTAAAAGAGGCATCAGTGTGGATTTTTTCATGTAGAACTAAAATTTTAAACCCAACAATCAAGAAGGGGGAAAGAAGGCACAAAAAGGAGGAGTTAGTGGATTAACGGTTCTGGGTCCTTAGCTTGTTTAAGAAGAGGATAAATAGACTGAGCAACGTTTAAAGAAAAATTTGGAGACAAATGTTCCCATTGAAATATTAAAGGTAACATTTAATAGAATAGAAATATAATGTATAACTCCCAAACTACCAGATAAACCACACAGTAATTTTTGAAAATGTTATCAAGCTAAATAAGGCCATAGATGGCCGGGTGTGGTGGCTCACGCCTGTAATCCCAGCACTTTGGGAGGCCAAGGCGGGTGGATCACGAGGTCAGGAGATCCAGACCATCCTGGCTAACACAGTGAAACCCCATCTCTACTAAAAATACAAAAAATTAGCCGGGCATGGTGGCAGGCGCCTGTAGTCCCAGCTACTCAGGAGGCTGAGGCAGGAGAATGGCATGAACCCGGGAGGCAGAGCTCGCAGTGAGCCAAGATCCCACCACTGCACTCCAGCCCGGGCAACAAAGCGAGACTCGTCTCAAAAAAAAATAAGGCCAAATATGAGGAAAAAGAAAAAGAAAAGGAAAAAGGAAGATAAGCAGAAACCTAAATTAAGATATTAAAATAAATATAAATTAATAAGTACAAAAAAATAAACAGATTCTGTTCACATATCAATAGAGATTATCAAATAATACAAAGACAATTCAGCTCAGGTTGGCTATAAAAGCTATAGTTAAAACCAAAGAACATAGAAAGGGTGAAAATTCCCAAGAAAATAAATACCAAGAAATAATAACAAAAAAATTTGTAGCAATAATGTTATCAGATAAAATAGACATTAGATGAAAAATTATTAATAGGGATAAATAGGTATGCCAAATTATGATTAAGACAACAACGGGTCAAGAAGATGGGGTAAACATGAATTCATACGTACCTAACAAAATAGTTCCAAACTTTTTAGCACACACAAATTAGAAAGGATTTAGATCTAACATTAGATATATTCCTGATATTATATATGTGTGTGTGTGTGTGTGTGTGTGTATATTTCTGCAGAAAAAATACATATTCTTCTTAAGCACACGTGGGGCATTTACAAAAAGTGTCCATATTCTAAGTCACATGAAATGTCTCAATAAATGTTAAACATTTGAATACAATTGTTAAAAGTGAACAATAAAGATAGCTTATTAAAATATACTCCTGAATAACTCATTGATTAAACCATAGATCAATAGCCAACACAACATTGAAGAAGAACAAAGTTGGAAGACTAGCACTACTTCATTTCAAGTCTTAATATAAAGCTACAGTAATCAGGACAATGTGGTATTGGTAAAAGAATAGAAAAATAGATAAGTGGAACAGAATGGATAGCCCAGAAATAGTCTACATAAATATAGTCAGCTGACCTTTGACAAAGGAGCTTTTGTAGCAATAGTGTTATCAGATAAAATAGACATTAGATGAAAAATTATTAATAGGGATAAATAGGGATCTATGGACAAAAGACAGTCATTTCAACAAATGGTATGGAACAACTGGACATCCAGATGCAAAAACAAAGAATCTAAACACAAACCTTACACTCTTCTCAAAAACTAACTCAAAATGGATCACAAACCTAAATGTAAAATGCAAAACCATAAAACTCCTAGAAGACAACAGGAGAAAAATCTAGATAACTTGGTTTGGTGGTGACTTTTTAAAATATGACACCAAAGTTATTATTCATGAAAAAATAATTGATTTAAGCTATATTTTATTAAAATAAAAACTTCTGCTCTGTAAAAGACACTGTCTTGAGAATGAGAAGACAAGCCACAGACTGGGAGAAACTACTTGCAAAAGATATATCTGATACAGAACTGTTATTTAAAATATACAAAGAATTCTCAAAACTCAACAATAAGAAAACAATCTGACTTTTAAATGGGCCAAATATTTTAACAGACACCTCACCAAAGAATATAAATGAAAAGATGCTTTACATTATACATCATCAGGGAAATGCAAATTAAAACAATGAAATACCACTACACACTTATTAGAATGGCCAAAATCTAGAACACTGACCACATCAAATGCTGACAAGAGGCAGAGCAACAGGAACTCACTCATTGCTGGTGGGAATGCGAAATGATACAGCCACTCTGGAGGACAATTTGTCAGTTCCTTACAAAACTAAACATGCTTTGACCATGTAATCCAGCTATAGCACTCCTTAGTATTTCCTCAAAGAGTTTAAAACATGTCCACATAAAAGCCTGCATATGAATGTTCATAGTAGCTTTATTCATAATTGCTAAAACAGAAGCAACCACGATATCCTTCAGTAGAATGAATTATTACTCGGTGCTAAAAATAAATGAGCTATCCAGCCATGAAAAGACATGGAAGAAACTTAAATGCACACTACTGGGTGAAAGAAGCTAATCTGAAAAAGCTACATACTATATAATTTCAACTATATGATATTCTGGAAAAAGCATAACTATTCAGACAGTAAGCAGATCACTAGTTGCCAGGGGTAAAGGGAAGGGGAGAGATGAATTAATAGAGCACAGCGGATTTTTAGGGCAGTGAAATACACCACGTAACGGTGAATACATGTCATTATACATTTGTCCAAACCCATAGAATGTATAACACCAAGAGTGAACCCTCATGTAAACTATGGGTGTTGGGCAATAATAATGTGTCAATATAGGGTCATCAATTGTAACAAATATATCACTCTGGTGGGTGATGTCAATAATAGGGGAGACTATAGTATAGCCTCATGAAATAAACAGATCACATTCACTTATCAATAGAGATTATCAAATAATACAAATAAAATCCAGCACAAGTGAATTTAGGCAATATATAGGAAATCTCTATACTTTCCTCTTAATTTTACTGTAAAGCCAAAACTTCTCTTAAAAAATTAAATATCATTTTTTTAAAAAAGAATAGATCACAAGGGAAATTATGAAATATTTAAAATTGGGAGTAAACAGAAACACAATAAACCATACCTATGAAAAGCAAAGTAATATCAAGAAATAAGTTAATTGTCTTAAATATGTTTATTAAACCAAAATAAGCATTTAAACAAGCATTCAACTTTAACAGATACAAAGCAAAAAGTATATTAAATTCAAAGAAAATAGAAGAAAGAAATTTAAAGGAGTAAAAATGAATAGAAAACAACTGCAAAATATGGCACAACAGAGATTGTGAACAAAATCAAAACTAGTTCTTTGTAAATATTAACAAAATGTATAAACCTCTAGGTTCTAGACAGAAGGAAGGAAGGAAGGGAAGGGAAGGGAAGGAGGGAGGGACGGAGGAATATTAGGAAAAATGGCAAGGCTGAAGATGATGGGGAGAGAAGTCTAGATTTTGTTAGGGTACTGGGTGGACAAAATAGGCCCAGTTAAAGGACAGCAAGGAAGGCCCAAACATTCAAGAGCAGCACAAAGGCAATGGGTCTTACATCGAAGAAGAAATAATAGATAATAAGGAAAAAAGACCACAAAGAAGAGCATGAAATATACCAACAAGAAAGCCAAGTGAAGAGTGGCATAAGTTAACCATAAGCTAGCTCTTCAAGTATTTTCTTTCTAAGTAAAGCTGGCATTACAAAAAATAAAAGCAATTTAGAATAAAATGACTTTATTAAGAACTATTTATACAAGATGAAAATAGTACAGCAGAAGGTTGAAAGTGAACTTAATTGTCCTTTTATACATCTGAATAGCTCATTAACAGAAATCAAGGTAGTCATTAAGAAAGCACAGCCAATCTTCCTCCAGAGAAGGATCCCTAATCCAACTACTCACTAAGGGTCTGGTTTCAGATTTCATGTGCTGGAAAATGCCTTTTAGGCCAGAAATAATGATTATTTTATTTAATTTTTATTAAAATATACAAATAAAAACTACCAATGAACTCAGTGTTATATTCATGTTTATATATATATTCATTTACTTATATTTGACATTTTTCTGAGATACATCAGAACAGAGTATATAAAATTACAAAGTCAGTCAAAAAATATTAAAACCAGATTTGGCCTAGATATTCTCTTCTTAGTATTTACTCTTAGTATTTACTCAAAGAGTTTAAATAATATTTAAATAAATACTCTTAGTACCTACTCAAAGAGATATTCTTTCCCTACACAGGACTCCCATATTATGCCCAAAGTCTTTTGTATTTTAACAAAGGAAATGTATCAAGGCATTGATCACTTGCTTTTAGAGAATATGTCAAAGAAAATATCAGGTATTAGAGGACAGAGAATTTTGTAAAACAAACTTTCCTGGTATTTCTAAAATCACAATATAAAGGGGGGACCACTACTATTCTGCCAATTACTTGGGCTAACAATACCTTTGATACATACGCCAGCACGTGAAACTAAATAAGTGTTTAGAGCCAAATAAATGATATAAAATCTAGCTTTCCTTCACATATAACCTTATTACTAAATACTTAAAAAATCATAAAAATCCCCTTAATCGTGGATCTATTTATGGATCTCTTTTTATCAAAGTACCAGTGTTTATAAATAATCTAATAATAAATAATCCAAAGCCACATGTCCAGCTCAAAGTCCCCATGTCCTTACTGATGCTCAATAAGTTTGGGCAAAGGTGAACTCATTTCCTATTCCCAACACTACTACCACCCTGTGCTTTCCTCCTTCCTTAGTTTTGCTCATGCTGCTTTCTCCAATATTGATTTTCTTTAGAGGAACATACTGAATGCCTCCTCCACAAAATTTTCTCCTTTTGCTCCTCCTCATCAGAAGTCTTTCTTCTCCTGTAAGAATCCCACAGCACTTACACTATCTATCCTTTATAATACTTGTCCTTTTAAATCTTGTAGTATGGTTATTTGTGTGCACATGTTATATCCCCCACTATACTTACAAGAGTCTTAAGGATAATATTTCTGTCTGAATTATAATATCCCTCATAGTTCCTACGAAGAGTCTCTAATACAAGTGTTCAAAACTATTTGCAAAACAATTGATATAGCAATAAATTGCAGTGATTTTGTTAGTAGTACAAAGAGCTAGTTCCTTAGAAATATATGTGCCAAAACTATATTTAGCTACTGACTTCTTGTATGATATGATTTATTTTCTGGGACCTTAATTTCTCAAATATGTATAGCATTAATTAAGAGCAGTAAAAACTTTTTAACTTATAAAATTTATGAAAAGAGTTATATGATACACAAAGTAAAAATTAAGGTCTTTAGAAATTAATGTAGGTGTTACTGTAAGTATCCTCCAAAAAAATCAACCTGCTAGCTTATCATAAAGAACTGAAGAATTTATCTCCATTGACAAGGCTTAATCATCAATTAGGACAATATCTCTAGGTAAGGGGGTACTTTAAGAATGTGTGAGACACAAGAGGTCATAATTTTTAAAAATTTAATAATTAAAGGTGCAAGCTTCCCAAAATAATTTTCATGATTAAAGGATAAAAGATCTAGGCATGCTCAGTGATGAAAAAAAAAAAGAAATGACTGAGGAGGCAGTATTATATCTGTCACGGGTAGGGAGGACAGGCCTCAAAAAACCATTAGGGTAGCCAAATAAGAAATGATAAAGTTAAGATACAGTAAAACAAGTTTAAGCAAAATATTAAGAAAAACTGCATGGTGAATCTTTAAAATTGTATCTAAAAGCTTGAAAAATGTGACAGGGGAAATTCTTTATTGGTAGGGAAAATAGAGGGATATGCAAGTTTTAAAGTAATGAACAGAACAAGATCACATTAGGAGAGCAGGCCCTTACTTACAAAGACATGTGCATTGAACATAAAGGTTGCAGTATTTCTATATTAAAAAGGCATTGTGATCTCCTAGGCTCTGCTCATCTCTCCTCTCTATAAGACAATCAATGCCAGGAGCGAAATTATATTTAATTTCTTTGTTATTTAATAAATTTTGGGTGGAGTTCCACATGAGGGATTTGAAAAAATAATTTCTAGTTCAGATTAATTTATTAAAAGCCTATTCAATTGTAAGTCAGGGGATAAGGTTCTCCACAGACCTCTATAACATTTAACAAACAAATTGCTTAATACTTTATTTGAATCACCTTTCCTAATTACTCTTATAAGGAGTTCTCAGAGATGTTAATCTGTTGCCACATAGCAATTTTTAGTAGCAGCTTCATAAACGTGTTAAATTTAAATACATATTTACATGAGGTGCACACATCCTCATGTAAATATGTATTGAGAATTGTATGTATTACAACCAGTTCCATGCTCCTATAACTTCATACTCCACAAGAAGTTAAATTCAAAAGGCTATGGCGTGCATTCAATTAGTCACATTAAAATCTAATTAAATTTAATCTAATATTGGCCTTCATCCTGAAAATATTATGGCTTTGTATTTGTACGGAACTCATCATCATCATCACGGTCGTCACCAGGAAGCAATAATGTGGACAGCATATTATACCAACTAGTGTACAGTATAGCATGATTTATATGACATCAGGAAGAACAAACAAAAAAAGCCTAGTTTGTATCCTAAACTATTAGTTGGAAAGATGGACAAGCAGATCCCAAATCCAGATATGGTGAAATAAACATTTGCAGTCATCACAGAGTATTATTTTTTTGCATGTTGAATTGAGGATATACACAAAAATCCATGCAAAAGATGGGACTTTAAAGAGGTTTCTAGAGGAGAAAAAGAGGCTTAGAAAAGCACAATGAGTGGAGGAGCTCCTCTCCTAAACTAGAACATCAGAGGGAATCTCACAAAAGGCTGTAAATTAGGATAAACTGGTATGTGAAGCCCCCAGAGTATGACTGTTACTACGCTAAACCCTTTAATACATTATATTATTGAAAAGCTACATTTAATAATAATTGCTCCACATTTAGTACAGATAATTTCAATTTCTTAGCTAGAGACACTGGGGTTTGGGGAGAGCCAGTGATCTGCTCAAGGCGGAAGAGCTACAGTGGCAGAGCCAGGATTCAATCCAGACTCCTCTGACTCCAAAACTCAAGCTCTTAATCTTTGGGCATGCTGCTTTTCACTATGAAATGAATGAAGAGAAAGTCCTGCAAAAAGATGCAATACCTGAAGAACAGGGAACTTTTTTTTTTAATCTGCAGGAATCTCTGTAATGAGGAGGAAGATGTTGGAACAGAAAACACTTGGTGATCTTGGTGTTAGAGCTGAGCAAAGTGCCCTATTTGCCAGAGAAAAGATGCATTTAAAAAAAACAAAATAAATAAAAAATAAAAAATCCTCAAATTACCTTGTGAACAAAAGTGCTGGAATCAAGTACTTGAATCACAAGGCAAATTTGGATTTCAGTGAGGATGCTCTTATACCTTGTTGGGGCACAACAACAAATTGCCACAAAAACTGGTGCTTGGATATGCTGAGAGATCTTAGAACCTGAATCAGATTCGAGGTCCGTCTAACCTTGTCTTATTTCACCCCCAAGCACTGGGAGAGAATCTCTTTGGAATTTCCTTATCTGACCAAGAAAACATCTTTCCAAAGAAATGCAATTGTCTTAAACCCCCTCCCTAGGGATCTCATCAAATAACCAGGAAAGACCAATCACTGCATAAGAGAAGAGACTGACAAGTCCTCACTAGCCTGGACAGACTTTTCATCTATTCTTCTGAGAGCAGCTACAAGAGATTTCCTGAGGGACTTAGTATGCATAATGAGACAACTTTTGTCGCTGTGCAGCTCCCTGCTCACCTTCACATAATGTCTGCCTCCCGCCTCCCAGGCCCATACATCTCTCTCTTGTGAAGAGAGTATTTAAGCATCACCGTCTGGCCCCTCTTTAAGTTCACATTTTGTATGACTCCCCTGCATATGTGTGCACATCAACAAATGTTGAATGCCTTTTCTCCTTTTAATTTGCCTTTTGTCAGTTGATTTTCAGCAAACTTTCAGAGGACAAAGGGAAAGTTTCCCCTGCCTTTCTACAACTCTCTAGTGCAGGAACAGGTACTAGAGACCTCATAGCTGGATAGAAAAGCTTGACATACTGCAAATCCTACATTTCCCTAACAAAAATGACAAGTCGCAAGCTATATATCTCTGGTCAGGTATGGTATGGGTTATTGAACAAAAATGATTTACTAAGGTTTTACTACTTCAACCATAGCTCAAACTCAATAGCAGCATTGCTTTAACATTTGCTTCTGAATGTTACAGAAATCAGGAAAGAACAGGAAAGGGGTCTCAGGTGATATTTGGGTCTGCCACTAACCTAGAAAATGATAAAGAGGAGAAGAGTTGACAGCGCTAGACATAGAAAAAAATGTTTCTTCCATCAAACCAGTTCAAAATCACTTTAAACATAGAAAAATTACCAAAAAAAATTTCTTTATGAACTATCCTTGAAAAATTTAGAATGTGACACATTTAGCTACACTAATGCATCTTATGTACTAGCTAATGCTGGGATCAGGGAAACCAAAAAACAAGGTCAGAGTCTGTCTGGAACAGTCTTCACCTAGATGAGGTGACCTCAAGGAGCAATAAAGGTGGCATTATTATGAAGTATGAGACAGACATTGGCCAAGATAAAAATATGTGTGAGAATATTAGAAATATATCAAAGATGAAGTAATTTCGAAGAGAAAAAAGATAAGAATCTCTGTGCTTATGAAATCATCTTTGCAAAAATTATGACACTGAGAGAAATCTAACATAACTGACTCCATTTTGCTTCCAACCTCACAAGCTAACTGTCCTGGGTGGAGGTCAAGCTAACAGAAATTATAGTTTCACTTTAAAGCAAGGATGATAATAGTCCCTTCCCAAAACTAAGTCCCTTCTGGTTGGGGACTGAAAACTGCCCTTGTAAAATTAATGAAAGACCACAGGGTTAGGATTATGGGAGGGGCCTGAATTCTGCTAAAATGTTAGTGTAGCTAAATGATAACCAGTTATTTTATCCTAGCTTGCTTTTCTATAATTTCTTACTTCTCAGGAGTCATGTAACCAGAGGTCACAAGATTTGTGACTTCCCCATTTGCTCCTATAGATAACATCACTATCTTGGTCTTTGAGTTATTTTTCAGACTTTTGCATTCTAGCAACGGACTGAAACCACCCAGATCCATGACTCATACCAAGGAACTGATTCAACCAGTCCAGTGGCCCCTACCCAGAAACTGACTCGCACCCAAGAAATTTTTTGACCAAGATCCATGGTTTCATCCCCAACCAATTAGCAGCACCCATTTCCTAGCCCCCTGCCCGCCAAATTATCCTTAAAAATCCTAGCCTCTGAGTTCTCAGGGAGGTGAATTTGAGAAATATCTCCCATTCTTCAACTCAGCTGCCTTGCAATGAATAAACTCTCTCTGTACTGCAACACCACTGTCTCTGTGTATTGGCTTTTCTGTGCAGCAGGCAAGAAGAACCCACTGGGCTGTAACACTTATTGCTGTCAAATTATGCCCCATCTACAGACAAAATGGACTCCCTGTGGCTAACTGAGATGCTCAAGTTAAAGCAAAACTTGGCAGCCATAGTAGGATGAAGGGGCAGTCACATACTCTGTGTTCTTGGAAAATGTTGCAAAAAAATATTATGACTTCCCTTTCTGCAATCAAGCTAAACCAGTTCCTGTTATTGATGCCTATGGATGCCAAAATAGACTGCTGCTAAAAATTTCCCAATTGACCACTTGGAATTAACCAATAGAGACTTGTCGTTTCAGGCTTAAAGGTGGTCCAAGCAAGGCTCTGTTCCTGGCTCCCCAGATACCCCTCCCTTGCATTTCAGTTCTTGCCTTTATAATCTCTAACTCTCCAGTCCTTCCTCAGAGTGTAGTTTTGTATTGTCCCAAAGGCTGGGTCTACCCAATATAGAGATTACTATCAGAAAATAAAGCCCATTTTATTGTCCCCACAGGTCGTATGGTCTTTTGTTAACATTTCTATTATTGTATTTCTATTACTTGCTAACAAATGACCCAACTGTTACTATTTTGCAATCATTACTCCATAACGGGAAGAATTATTATGAATAAATCTTAGTATAGAAAAGAGGGTTGACGAAAATAGAAAATTTGGTGGATTCCTATAGGTACAGGATTTGGCTCTCAGGCTTTCAGGTTAAAAACATCATTGCATATAACTTTCTGATGTTTAAATTCAGTGTTACTACTGCTACTCTTTTCACATTAATGGAAAGTAAACCTAATAGTAGTAATCATATTTTTTCCTTACTTAGGGCTAACTGAAATATCTTTACCTAATGATATCACTAACAAAAACAAATATTAGATTTTAAAATAATATGTTTAAAAGGATCATATTTTATAAAAAGTACAAATGAAATTGTGATGCAATTTCATCTTTTTTCTTTTCTAATTTTTCTAAAAACAACTTGCATTACTCATATAATTTTTAAAAGAGAGAATAGAAAGAGGTAAAATCTAATGAAATGATTTTCATTAACCAAAATTATCTATCACTAAAATGGCCATTTATTTATTTCTTAAAGTAACTATCATGAAGATCTTCATGAAGACACGTGACGCTCAGATATTACAATAAAAGGGTATTAAGCTGGGTGCCATCTTGCCTGAGAAAACTTGATACACACAAGTTTTGTGTATCAAAGAGAATGCTTACTCTACAACTGGTTTTTCAACAGTTCATGAAAGATTATTACCTGTATTTGTTTCAACATATGTTCACAATATGTAATTTTTATTTCACTATATTTAATTATATTTTAATTTGGTTCATTCTTGCTGTCATATTCAGCTCCTGCAGTTTCAAAATTACACTAGACGAGAGATGGCTTTAAATAGCAAATCCCATCCATGCATGGTGCTAACATCAGTATTGGAGGATAATATTTCCTGAACTGGACCCCAGTTTCTAGGATGCATCTTGTTTGAAGGCCTATGGTCTTCCCTCACTGATTATGTTGGTGAGTAAAAGTTTCAGTATGGTAACTGCACTTTTTCATTGTATTAAATGGTTTGTTGAGCTGTGTTTATTACCTTTGCTGATCATCACTCTTATCATTAACATGACAAGTTAAAATGATTTTTGAATAATTGCAATCCCTATGCGTAAATATTTCCTGAAAAATACAAAGAGAATAAATACGACTGTAGAGGAACTATAGACACATTTTTAAGTGATAACATAAAATGGACTTTTATAAATATAAATACACTAAGAATATCTGTTTTATGGTTTACAGTATTTACTATTTTTAACTTACATAGCTGGCCTAATTTTAGTTATATGGGCCTAGAAAAAAATTCATGTGAAATGAATGTGATAATCAGTTCCACGTCTCACGTAACTCACAGCCCTGATGTAACTAATTTTATCACCAAAGTTCCTAAAATAATAATTAAACTGGAGATGAGGTTCTGTTCACAAGTCTTGCATTTGGCTTTAAATTAAATATTTTATAAAAACATGAAGCGATGGTTAGATTAAATTGTTAGTAATCATGCCTTCAGCAAAGACATAATTTCAAAATCCTTCTGAAATTTGGACATTGGATTAACTGCAATACCAGCCAGCGTATAACTTTGCCCACATCACACAATCTGCTGATAATAAAACCAGAGTTAGAATTCGAAAATTTTACTTTCTAGGTAGATCACTTATAATGAACCATCCAATTTTCTATCCTGTCATTGGATTATGGATAAGTACAATAAATTTCATAGATAACCAACAGTTAACATAAAAAATTAAGTAGAGACATTATGCCAAATATTATTACATTGCTTTAAAAGTTTTTGGACAAGTGCATTTTAAAGTTAAAATAAAATCTTACATGGATCAATTTTCTGAACAGCCTACACACAACCCTTAGGAACTTGAACTTTTGCTGCCAAGAGTTCCAGCATGCAGAATTCAGCCTGTGACATTTTTCATGTAATGGGATTATCCCACTATTTCCCCCACCCCTAATCAGGGTAAGGTTACTCAACAACAGGAGCACTTAAACAGAGACCAAAGATCATTAGGGAAAATACTCTGAGACACGGCAACTGAATCACATAATTATCAAAGGTTTAGGATATGTGAATCCGCTGTCATATTACTTGGCACCAAGAGTTATGAACAAAAAAGCTGACAAACTTGAGTTTTTTGGGCACTTTATGTAACTCGTTAACCAGGACAATTGAATTCTTTGTGGCATACTAAATTTATTAAAAATATACTTATGGACATTTAAGCTATCTGAGGTAATACATTTAGATCAAGTACTTTAGAAGAAATATTAAAATCTCTGCAGATCATAGAGTGAAATATCCAAATAATCTTTCATTATATAGGATTCACTGTTTTTGTATTTAACAATTCATAGATATAAAAAATTATTATTATAAGTATCACTATGGCATTAGAACTTTCCTAAACTACAGATTCTATCTCATTAAATATTCATGCACGCCAGGTTTTCATACTTGGTCCTCTCATTCTGAAGAGTTTTATTAGGGAAACTCTTCCATACCCATGAATTCAAGTCCTCCTGAACACGTAGTTCTGAGATCCAGAACCATATATTCAACTGCCTGCTGGACATATCCGCCCCCAAGGTAGTCCATCAGGAATTGCTAACTCAAATTGACCACACAAAATCCAACAACCCTTTATATCCAAAATGAGCCCTTCTCTACATCTTCACAAATAAAACTACCTACCATTCTGACTCAGCATGTTAATGGGGCACACATAGGGGAGCGAAGATACAGTCCAAGTCCCTCAAAAGTGCAAAATGATATCAAAGATCCACCCACATAAAACCTAGAGCCCCAAAATGTACAATGCTCTATAGCTAAAAAAAAAAAAAGTTTAAAAGTAAAAGGATAGAAAAGGTAGACCACGCCACAGTAATCAAAATAAAAAAATGGAGTAGCTATATTAATATTAAAGTATATTTCGAGCAAAGAATATTGCCAGGGATAAAAAAAAACTTCATAATAATAAAGGGGTCAATTGTATAAGAGGACATAACAATCCTATTGTGCTTAGGTTTATGCACCTAATAACAGAGCTTGAAACTACATAAAGTAAAAACCTAATAAAACTGCAAAGAGAAATACGCAAATCTACAATTATGGTTGGAAAGTTGAATATTTCTTTGTAATTGATAGAAAAATAGATAATTGGCAACAATGCAGGAGAGTTAACACTATCAAGCAACTTGACATAACTGGCATTTATAGAATAAAAAGAATAGCAAATTAAACCTCAAGTAAGCACAGTAAATAAATAGCAGAGCAGAAATCAACAAAAAAGAAAAAAAATAGAAAATATTAATAAACTCCAAAGCTCATTCTTTAGAAAATCAATAAAGCTGATAAACTGCTAGCCAGACTCATGGAGAAAAACTGGGTGAAGACACAATAAAAAAAGGGGGCATTGCTACAGATTCTACAGAAAGTTAAATAAGTGTATTTTATCAATAACTTTATGTCAAAAAAATTCAACAACTTAAGTAAAATGGTATTCTAAAAGATACCAACTACCAAAGTTCACTCAAGAAGAAACAGATAACCTGCTTATTTTTAAAATTGACTGGATAGCTTTTTCACAAACAAAGCTCCTGGCCCAGATGGCTTCACTGGTGAACTCTACCAAGATTTTAAGAAAGTTGTAATATCAATTCTACACAGCTCTCCAGAAAATTGGAAAGGACAAAAATACTTTTCAACTTCTTCTGTGAGGCAAGTATTAAGGCAAAACCAGAGATACATTACAAGAAAAATAAAACAAAACCTATGGACGATATCCTTTATGAACATAGATGCAAAATAAAATTAGTAAATAAAATTTGGTAATCTGTAAGAAGAATAACACATCATAACAAAGTTCATCCCATAATGCAAATTGTCTTAACAATAAAATATAATGAATGTAATTCACCATATTAACAAACTAAATGAGAAAACCCACATAATCATCTCAGTAGATTTAGGGAAAAACAAGTTTGACAAAATTCAATATTCATTCTTCATTTTAAAGTAACTTTCAGCAAGCCATGAATAGAATTTTCTGAACTGGATAAAGAGCACCTATGAAAAACCTACAGCTAGTATCATACTTAAATTAACAGTGTAAGACTGAACAATTTTCCCCCTAGGGTCAGGAACGACACAAAGATGTCTATTCTCAATACCTCTTCTATAGTATTGTACAGAAGGTTCTAATCAGTACAATAGGCAAAGAAAATGAAACGAAAGACATCTGGACTGGCAAGGAAGGAAAATTGTCTTTATATGTCCAGTGCTCATTCTATCATACCTCTAACTTCATGATTTATATTTTCCATCTCTTTATATGTCCTAAATAGTAAAAGAAATCTACAATTAAAATTACAGCAAGAATGTTTATTAGCAGTTATATATTTTCTATAAAGAACACAATTTTATTTTTCAGACAGATAACCCAAGGAAACTGTTATCTATGAAACAGAATATCATTGCCTGCCAAGAACCCTCTTAGCAACCCCTTTTAAATCTACTGTTTTTAAAAATGTCCTACTAAATTTTTGTCTTCGAATTGTCATCTAACTATCTGCCCCTGTCAAGCACAATGCCTTATCACAAGTTCCAAGTCATATATAGGCAAAAGAATAAAAGCTAAAGACAAAGACGGCCTTAAAATAGTTGTGTCACGCTTAAATGTCATATTGTCTCTTAAAAAATCCTCATATTACAAGTTCATTAATTTATTCACTTAGATTATGAAAGTTATCTCTTCAAAATATCCCATTGTAGAGTAAAATCCTTTTCTCATTCTATCTGGGAAAGACTTAAAAGACTAATAAAGTTCTTTCTTCCACATCTTTACTTCTTGGTTGGTTACTTGGTTCAGGCTTCCTCTTTATAGTAATGCTTTGAAATGTGTTATGTTCAGATCGATTTTATAATTTTATAGTGAGATTACATTGTATATCCTAAGTTTGTGTGTGTGTCTGTACTTGTTATTTCTAACACTCCATGTGTCTTTACATTCATTCATAAACAGATTCTGATGAATAAGAAAGCATAAATTCTTGTGCTGATAATGAATTATCATGACAATATGCTTTTACTATCTTTATTAAAATAGATCATACTAACAGATGTATTTTTTAATCCTACTAAGGGGTAAACATTGGAAGACTTTTAACTTAAAAGAAAAATAATTCTATTTTCTTTTAGTAGGATGACCCTATGTCCCATTTCAATCAGTTAAATCTTTGCACCTATTATCCTAGTTCTGTCCAGGTTAGCATTTGTTCTGGTAAAAATGTCCTGGCTGAAATGATCAACAACATGGTCACCTTGCCTTTTAGAGAGGTAACTCTGAGCCTCAGGAAATGTTCATATCTTTTGATCAATTAATCCTTCAAGAAATTTCTGCAAATAAAATAATTACAAATGCAGAGATACACATTTGTATAAAAATATGTCCATTATGAGATTATTTATAATTCAATGTAAACACAGTAGTAAACAATGTAAACAGAACCACTAATAGTTCATAAATAAATGGAATATTACACATAACTTACACATTATGGTTTTTCAAATGTTCAATTAATAAGAAATGCTCAAAATGTAATTTTGATAGAAAAATAAAGTACAAAATGTGTATATAGTATAATCTCTACTCTGTTATATATATTTCATGCATAAATACATACACGCACCCCCCATTCAGAAAAATAGAAATGTGCAAAATGATGAATGGTTATGGATAATTATTATGGGTCATATATTTCCTTCAAACTGCTGTGTTTTTCAAGTTTTGTTTAATAATGTGTCACTTTATAAACAAAAAAATACATTGTCACAAGAATATAAGAAAGAGAATCAAGATGACTAAAAAAAACTACCACTTTGGAATTTGGGCAGTAGAGAAACTAATTTGTATAAGTAAATGAGGCATAAAGCAAGAAGCATCTTTGAAAATAACATGTTAACATTGGTTAGTAACAGGTCATTTTCTGTGCTGTCGTTCTTTTCAGACATTACTAATTCAAACAGTAATTCAAACAGAAAAGTGTCTAAAATTGAAGTACTTACTTAAACTAACAACTAGATATCACTTTGAGTCTAATATTGTGAACACTTTGTGGAACATGTTTATTAAACACTTTGTGTATAAACACTTTGTGGAACATGTTTATTAAAGGCTAGCAGCTAAGATTTTTTAAAAAACACTTGAAAGCCTGTTGTATAAAGAACTCTTAAAGATCCTGGGAATGCTTATCTGAGGGAAAAAATTTAAGTGGACACAGATTTTGCATCATCTAGTGAAGAAATAGCTAATGGTCAGAGCTAACCACTTAAGAATTACTATCGGCCGGGCGTGGTGGCTCACGCCTCTAATCCCAGCACTTTGGGAGGCCGAGGCGGGTGGATCACGAGGTCAGGAGATCCAGACCATCCTGGCTAACATGGTGAAACCCCATCTCTACTAATAATACAAAAACATTAGCGGGGCATGGTGACGGGCGCCTGTAGTTCCAGCTACTTGGGAGGCTGAGGCAGGAAAATGGCGTGAACCCGGGAGGCAGAGCTTGCAGTGAGCCAAGATGGTGCCACTGCACTCCAGCCTGGGCGACGGAGCAAAACTCCGTCTCAAAAAAAAAAAAAGAAAGAATTAATATCCACCAAATAGATCGAATATCACAGTGCAAAAGAGCCCACATGACAACCAGTTTGTAATCTGGTATTGTTTTTAAATACACTCTTCTTAATCTTGTTTTAGAGAAAGGAGCTAGGCATCAGATGGGTATTTAAACTAACTGTTCTGTAATGATCTCTCCAAATCCGGCATAATGTGATGTTAATATTACTGAGATTTAATCCACATTTCTCACATTTCTTTTTACATCAAACTGTAAGATAAAGCTGATGTTCCATCATTTAATAGCCAGTTAGTGATTCTTCTCAGCCACTTCACTGTTCATTAGCACTCCCACTAGAGGTGGAGGGGGCAGAGAGGAGTTCATTTAAATGAGTTGACTGCTGTGCATGTTAAAAGTTAGAATAATTATTTCATGCAAGTGTTCAATACTACTGGCCAAAGTGGTGAACTGGTATCATGCATATGCTCCCTTAACAATTTATCCTGATTACCTATTTCCCTTTGGTGTTTTTTGTTTGTTAACTAAACCTACAATTGAAGATTTAGAATATAGTTGTCATCTCAGCCCTGAAATGCCAAATCTGTAACAATATTAATATGGTAATGCTGAGCTCATCTAGCCTAACTCATAGTTCTAATTTTATATACCTTATATATTTGTGTATGTACATGGCTGATTCTTTGTGCTTCTCTATCGTGACTTTCAAGGTAAATGTCATTCATATAAGAAAATCGTCTGTTAAAATCTCTAGGCTTCATTATTTTAGATTTCTGGGTAAGCTCTAATCCAAGGTTTATTTACAGAAAATAGACTACATTGACCAGGTAAAAAAAAATTTTTTTTATTGTGGTAAAAAAACACATAACATAAAATTTACAATTTTAACCTTAAGTGTTAAAGTTCAGTAGTATTAAGTATATACACGCTGGTCCTGAAACAGATATCCAGAAGTTCTTTTTCTTGCAGAACCAAAACTAACTGTAATACATGTCACCTCCTCAATTTGCAAACCTACAGCAGCAACATGCTTGCAATAAAATAAAAACCTCTATTTCCTTTAAAAAAACAATATTCACATGTTCCTCGCGACATGGCTGCCCCCACATATCCCCACGTGTGTAGAACATCATGGTGCCCTGCATTTGCATATTAAAAGGCTAGGGTGGGAAGGCCAGCTTTTTCCGCAGGCCACGTGAATGACATGCCTGGTCAAACCAATCCCCTGAGCCCTATGCAAATCAGACATGGCCTCCTCCAGCCTCTGCATATATACCTGGCTGGAGTCTGCTGCACTTGGGGACGTCCTCTTCCAGCTTTGGAGGCCCCCTCCCTCTGTCTCTGTACGAGGGAGCTTCTTCCTTCTCTCTTCTCCCTTCCTCTTGCCTATTAAACTCCCCTCTTCTTAAAACCAAAAAAAAAAAAAAAAATCAGGAAGATGAAGTAAAATACCTCCAACTGTCTGCCTTTCCCAGGAGGAAAGTATATATAAAAGAGAAGATAGAAAAATATGTTTTAATTTGTTTTTAATTTAGCAAGTTAAGATGTTGTAATAATTAGACATTTATTTTTTTCACCAAGTAATCATTTCCACATTATTGGACAGGTTCATGAGTTTTACTGCTTCATTGTCATTTAATGATCCTGAAAATAAGCCCACATTTTTCTTGAGTTCTTTTTGCCAAAAAAAAAAAAAAAAAAAAAAATCCAAGTTACTTTAGACAATGCAGCAACTTTGCATTATTCCTCCTTTCTTATGAACATTTAAAAACTAAACTACTTTCTTTCATCCTACCCCTAAATTCAAGGTTTCTAGGAGATAGATTTCTGGATTACTCATATTCTTGAAAATGATTAAATACAAAATCTTCTCTAAAATAAGTGTCGGATTGAATGTTGTTTCTCCAAAAGCAAATGTCTCACAATATGACCCAGAATACTATTTCTCAGCCCAAGACAAAAAAAAAAGTAGTGCCTGAAGTTTTAAGATTTACAAAAGGGAATCCAGTAAATACTTAGCAAAGCATTCATTGCAGTTCACCAGAACTTTAATCTCCTGATTAAGAGACAAAAAATAAAAATAAAAACAGAGCTCTAAAACTACTAAAACCTACTAAATAATCTGAGATAAAACCATCACTTCTAAATTCCCAATCTTATAATGTTCTTTTCTATAGTTCTATTTGTCAACACAGGTCATAAACTCACTTGGTATTGCACAGGGCTTTTAATCAGGTCTTTAAGCAGCTCAGTGATTCTAAGTGCATATTTTCCAATTTATTATAGATACATCTCTTAAATTATACTTTGCTTGCCCAAACTGAAAAACATGGCATATTATACAGCTGCAAGTTCCTTCCACACAACCTATTTAAGTTCTAGTATCAGCCAAGATAATGATGTTCACTAGAAAACACTATCTATAGCAGGTTTAAATAGCTATTTTTAAAAAATATTCCTTAATCCAAGGATTAAGAGTGCCCTAAATGAAAGGTGCTGAGCTACGTGGGGTTGGTAACACAAAGGTGGAGAGCTATCCCTGTCCTCAGTCAGTTTTCAATCTACCCAGGATGACATGTATAAGAAAGATAATAACTGTATTTTAGATGACAAAATTTATCATTCACTCTAGGACACTTTTGAGACTAGGAGAGGTGCTCTTACAAATTAAGCCAGAATTTGAGAGGATCTTTTGAACACAAGAGTTTAAGGCTACAAGGAACTTTGATCATGCCACTACACTTCAGCTTGGGGACACAGCAAGGCTGTGTCTCTAAAAAATTTAATTTAATTTAAATTTAGAAAGCAAAAGAAATCAAGCAAGGATAACAGACATAAATGTCCAAGGAAAATTGGAACATATAATCACCCTAACTATGGCACACAATGCTTTGTAGTTTACTAAGTTGTTTCAAAAATCTATTTTCTTTCTGAAAACAAAGATATGAGATCAATAACACAATACTATCCCCACTTTTAGATGGGAAAACCGAGGCTCAGAGAAGCTAAAGGACTAATCTAAGGTCACATAGCTAATAAATATTAGGTTCAATGCTTGAACTTAGGTTTTCTAATTTCAAATCTAATATCTTTCCACTATAACACATTGCTGCATCAATAACTGTAACCACAAGATACACAGCTAAATTCTATAATCACAACTTGAAAGAAACATGGTTCTTCTGATTATAACATCCATATAAAGATATAGGGAGAAAACATTTACCAATTTGAAAGTATTACTATTTTGACGGTAAAATGTATTTGTGGATGAATAAGGGCAGATTAATAAAATGAAACATTTTATATGATGTAAAGATTACTTACAAAAAATAGTTAAAACAATTTTAAAATGTAAAGAGGGATGTCCTCCTCATCATTATTATTCAAATTGTCTTTTAAGTTGTAACAAATGAAGAATGGCTAAGAAGACATAAAAACATCTTTTTTGCTAATAAGATTATATACATAGAACATTCAAGAGTCTATAATAAAATAATAATAAAAAATCACTAAAAATTTTTAAAATTGATAAGATGCTAGATTTAAGATATTTTTTAAATCAGAAATTTTTCTAATTTCTGTCGATAAGGTCCTCATCCTATCAGTTCCAGGCACCTCCAGACCGCTTCTCATTCTGTATAGATCTCTGCTCCAGTTGTATAAGGTTTTTATGTTCTTGAACAGAGTATATAACATCCCACCTCTAAAGTACCTGGTTTGGAAAATTTCTCCAAATTCCAAAGCTACTATTAGAGCAATAATTTCTCTTCTACCTATGACCACTAAGATTTACTAAAATCTTTCCTTTCAGGACAAAGAGACTGTCTGAAATTCTGCACCTCATCTTTGACCACTGGCAGCAAATTTATGGCCAAATAAAAATTGCCAATTTGTCTCTGCTTCTACTCTTCAAGAATGTATAAATATTGACATTCACTCTCAGAGCATTCAATGCAGACAAGGGAAAAAATGTCCATGATAAAAAGGATGCGTATGTGTTTTTAGAACACCGTCTGGTTCATAACTGGCTTTCTAACAGCCTGGTACAGCCCATTTTATATGCCTGTTTTTCAGCTTTTATAATGGATTTCTAAAAAGATAGCAAACTCTGAGAAACAAGTTTATTTATCAATGAGATTTATATGTCACCCTTTGAAAAACTGCTGGTAACATTAAAATAATTTTCATTTCATTGTTGTGTTGAGATTTATTCCCTGACACCTTTCATCTATTTTGCCTATAACAGGCATACGTGACCAAAAGCATGGTACTCCTCAAGAATATAGAAATAAAGGAAATACCAACTTCTGCTTCTGAGAAAACGGAGTAGATGTAATTTTCCCTTTTCTTTCCCCGAAGTACAACTAAAAACTCTGGGCATTATATAAAATAAGCATTGGAAGACTCTGAAAGTAAAGAGGAGGCGGCACGCTAGCTAGGGA
Organism: Homo sapiens; assembly: GCF_000001405.40. Taxonomy (NCBI): domain Eukaryota; kingdom Metazoa; phylum Chordata; class Mammalia; order Primates; family Hominidae; genus Homo; species Homo sapiens. The sequence goes on from NC_000004.12 coordinate 149,777,803, forward strand.
CCTCAGCACCCAAGGACTGACGCAGTGGTGCGTTCCCTAACTTTTCTTTTCATTTCATATATCTCAGACTTGGAAGTAAAGAGGTCAGCAATCCAAGAATACCAACAGATGCAGACCAAAAACAAAACAAAAAAAAAGGCCCAAACCAAACCAAAGCCTATTCTCTCTACCTTGAAGAACAGGAAAATCTCCAAACCCATGGAAACTAAACAATGTACTTCTAGGTAATCTATGGGTCAGAAAGAAAGTCTCAAGGGAAATTTTAAAAAACACAGTTAAATTAAAATGAATTGGCCGGGCGCGGTGGCTCACGCCTGTAATCCCAGCACTTTGGGAGGCCAAGGCGGGTGGATCACGAGGTCAGGAGATCCAGACCATCCTGGCTAACACGGTGAAACCCCATCTCTACTAAAAATACAAAAAATTAGCCAGGCGTGGTCGCAGGCGCCTGTAGTCCCAGCTACTCAGGAGGCTGAGGCAGGAGAATGGCGTGAACCTGGGAGGCGGAGGTTGCAGTGAGCGGAGATGGCGCCACTGCACTCCAGCCTGGAAGACAGAGCAAGGCTCTGTCTTAAAAAAAAAAGAAAAGAAAAATTAATATACAACATATCAAAATTTGGGCAACAAAGCTAAAGCAGTAGTAAGAGGGAAATTTATAGCACTGAATGCTTACATTAGAAAAGAGGAAAAGTTTAAATTAACAATTTGAGTTTTCACCTTCAAGAACTTAGAAAAAGAGCAATAAAAATAAGAGCAAAAACCCAATTATTTGAAAAGATTAATACAATTGAGAAATCCCTAGTAAGACTGACAAAGGATAAAAAGAGAGAAGACAAAAATTACTAATATTAGAAATGAAATGGGTATCACTACAGATTTGCAGACATCAAAAAAATAAGGAAATATTAAAAACAGCTCTATATACACAAATATGAAAACAAATGAAATAGACAAATTCCTCAAAAAGTATAAATTGTCATAATTAACCCAATAAGAAACAGATATTTTTGAATAGCCTTATAATTATTAGATAAATAAAGCTGATAATTTTAACACTCTCGAAAAAGAAATTGCCAGACCTAGACGGTTTCACTGTAAATACTACCACATTATTAAAGAAGAATGAACACAAATTCTATACAATCTCTTCTAGAATACTGAACAAGAGAAATACTTCCAAGTTCATTTTACTAATCCAGTAAAACCAGACAGGGATAATACCAAACAAACAATTAAAGGACTCATATTCATCATGAATATACACAAAAATTCTTAACAAAATAGAAGGAAATAAAATTCAGCAAATATTTTAAAAATTACACACCATGATCAAGTAGAGTTTATTCCAGTGATTCAATGCTGGCTTCATATTCAAAAACCCAGCAATGTAATCCACTCTACTAACAGGTTTAAAACAATTCCTATACAAATCCTATCAAGATTTCTTATAGATACAGACAAGATTATTCTAAAATTCATATGAAAGTCAAGGAACTAGAATAGCTAAAGTATTTTGAAAAAGATGAATAAAGTGGGAAGAATTAAAGTATATCCAATTTCAAGATTTACTCTATAGCTACAGTGACTAAGGCTGTGTTGTATTGGCATAGACAAATAGGTCAATAAAACAGAGTAGAGCACCCAGAAATTGTCAAAACACCAATATGCTGGGTTTTGACAAAGAAGCAAAATTCAATGAAAGTAAGCCTTTTCAATAAATGATACTAGAACAAATGGATATCTGTAGACCAAAAAGTGAACATCAACCTAAACCTTATACAAAAAATTCAAAATGAATAATGGACTAAATATAAAATGTAAGAATAGGTTTGGAGAGTCAAAACTGAAAAATAAATCAGATAGAACCAGTATTAAATGAGCAGGCAGCTATTCATTCCCTAAGAGAAGGCAATTGGTAAAAGGTTCTGGTACAGAGTCTCCAAATATGCATTTGATTTTTGAATATCCCATAAATATGTTTTGACAACTTTATGCCAACTTTCAAACCCTGAATTGGCACTGGCTACCAGGCAACAAATCAGTTGCTGTAAGGTCACTATCCTTATACTACGCTGTTTGTGCAACTAATTAAATTTTTACTGCATTTTGCCTCATTACTTCACAAAATTGGTGAAACACTGAAAAATCCAAATCTAATGGCTGTCACTAGTGACAGGGAGTATGTCATATCAATCCAAATGGATTTGAAGGAAAGATGCAAATTACTGAATGTATCCAAAATAGCAAATTCTTAGCTTCAATGAGATATTTGTTCGATTTAAGCCATCAAGTCTATGTCAATTAGAAAAGGACACAATTAAATATTACAGCATAAACATTAGAAACATATTGTTGAAGACAGTCCCTACAAGTGAGGAGTAATTAGAAATGTTATAATTATTTTTAGTTCTATGGAAAAGGAACTCACGTTAGAACAAATAAATACTGTCCAACTTTTGCACATTTGACCCTGGAACACATAGAGGGATGATCTCTTTGTTGACACGTCTTGATGGATTAGCCTGAAAACAAAAGTTCACAGTAGGGAACAAAATGATTCTTCAATAATTCTCTGCATGAAGATTTCAAAACCCAGGTAAAAAATACACTGGCCAAAAGTGACTACCAACCAAGACAGAGAGTCTCATCATCCAAGACATCATCAGAAACCCAACATGAACAATGAGGAAATCCTTAGCCTTAATGAAGTAACTTTAAAATATGTAAGTTATATATATATATATAAAACATATTTTTTTCCACAGAAGAAAACCCTTAAATAGAGCTACCCTGAAACTTACTGGTAAAAGTAAACAAGAAAGGCTTATTGTACTGAAAAGAGATATATGAGAAAGAAAAACCGTTCCTAAATTTCATTTCTTCAGGGCAGGGGTGGAAATGAATTTAAAATACCTTGACAAAGGGAGTAGGGAGCAGGTCTAGAGGTGAAAAATACTCCAAAGAAACATCACCACAACCAGTAAATGGTTGCACATGGGGCTAGATTAAAAAGACAAGTCAAAGAACTAAAAGCCTAAGATAGTGAAGAGACAGATGAATTAAAATGGAATGTATTAAATGCACTGTTCACTTCCCATGTGCCAGGTATCATGCGAAGATGAGTGGTTTAGACATGTTGAGTTTAAGGAAATAATAGGCATTCAAATGGTGAATTTAAGTAATGATGAGAGAAGTCCAGGAAAGACATAAGCCTCTAAGAGTTATTTATATAGATATAATCATTAAATACATAAAAGAAGTAGAAAGTGAGAGAGAGAGAAAGGATTGAGAACCTGGATTTTAGAAAACATTCCTATTTCAAGAAAAGAAGAAGCAGAAAGCTAAGGATGATGAAGTTGTAGCTTCAATCTTCACTGCAGGCCCCTGAACTATTGTATACAGTAATTGTCCTTATCCATTGTTTTGCTTTCTGTGGTTTCAGTTACCCATGGTCAACCATGGTCCAAAAATATTAAACAGATAATTCCAGAAATAAATAATTTAGAAGTTTTAAATTGCATGCTGTTTTGAGTAGCATGATGAAATCTCATGCCGTCCCACTCCATCCCACCCAGGATGTGACTCATCCATTTGTCCAGCATATATATGCTACGTTTATGCTACCCACCCTTAGTCATTTAATAGCCATCTCATTTATCAAATCAACTGTCAAGGTATCACAACGCTTGTGTTCAAGTAACCTTTATTTTACTTAATAATGGCCCCAAAGTGCAAGAGTAGTGATGCTGGTATATTGTTATAGTTGTTCTGTCTTATTATTAGTTATTGTTAATCTTTTTCTGTGCCTAACATATGAATTAAACTTAATCATAGGTACATATAGGAAAAAACATGGTATATATAGGATTCAGTACTCTCTGCAGTTTCAGACATCTGCTGGGGGTCTTGGAATGCATCCCCCTCAAAGGGAGACTAGTGAACTGCCAAAACATTATGAATTGACAAAACTGTAAGAATATTCTATGCTTGATACATTGGAAAAGAAGCAGACTAAGGGAATAAGTAGGCAGCCTAGGAAAAGGTCATGAAAAACCTCCAAGAATTTGAGATCTTGGCAAAAGCATAAAAACCTGCTAGGGGAAACACACTGAGTAGGAGAAACAATATGATGTTTAAAGGTATCCATCCACAAAAAGATAATGTATTCTGACTGCGTAAGACAATATTTTTTTTTTAATCTCAGAAAAGAGAGAAGAGACCGTGTCTCAAATAAGACAATAAACAGCCCTAACACTTATTTGCTCAAGCAACAATAATAATAATAACAATACTTAGCCTTCAAACTGTAGTCCAGAGGGGCAAATAAGTTATAAATTCAGTGGAAAATGATTCAAGAAAAATTTACCCATTCTGCCCATGTTATGCATAAGCAAGATAATAAATATACATCCTACTCTTACTACTACTATTTATATACACATACATGCAAACTGGAAACAATCATTGCACAGATGAAGAACTCAGTTATGAGGAAAAAAAGGAAAGAAAAATATAAGGCAAATAAAAAAGATTTTTCCCAAAATATTTTTCACACTAAATATGTAATAAAACAAGAACTCAAAAATAAGATGGTAAGAAAATATAACAACCAATCTGGGAAACAAAGTGAGACTCTCTCTCTCTACAATTTTTTTTTACTTGCCAGATGTGGTGGCACACAGCTATAGTCCCAGCTATTTGAGAGGCTGAGGTGGGACGATTGCTTGAGCCCAGGCTGCAATGAGCTATGATCATGCCACTGCACTCCAGTCTGGGTGTCAGAGCAAGAGTCTGTCTCAAAGAAAGAAAAAAAAAGTGGGGGTGGGTGTGGGGGGAAATACAATAAGATTCAAAAGAAAAAGGAAGAATCCAGAACTTAAAAAAAAAAAAACACCACTATCAACCACTGTGAATCTAACATTATTAGGTAACTGATACCTTTAAAAAAGCAAGGAATAGAATAGACTTAGCTAGAAGTCTAATTAGTGATACAGAAGGAAGACAGATTTTATGATAATCATGTGAAACATTTTTCTCACTTGGCTCCTAGGATTCTACTCTCTCATGGTTCTCTTTCACCTTCCACCCTCACTGGACACTCCTTCTCAGTCTTCCTTGCTGTTTCCTCTTCATCTCTCCACCTCTAAACATTAGAGTGTTTCATATATCAGACTTCAGATGGCTTTGATTCTCTATTCCTACTTCTTTGGTGATCTCATCCAGTCTCACTGTTTTAAATTCCATCTTGTCTGATGGTTCTTAAATGTATATCTATAGTACAGAACTCTCCCCTGTACTCCACATTCATCTATCTAACTACTTTCTCCACATCTCCACTTGGCTATCTAACCAGCATTTCCTAACTTAACAAGTCTAAAACTGAATTCTTTTTTCCAGCCATCCCACAATAAAACCTATTCTTCATTCAAGTCTTCATCTCAGTAAATGTCAATTCATTTCTTCAATTTTCTTAGGCTAAAAACTTGCACATAATTCTTGAATCTTCTATGTTGCTTGTATATCTCATGTAATTCTTTAGTATTAACAAACGCTCTCAAAATTATATCTAGAATCTGACCACTTCTTATTACCTTCTCCATTACCACCCTATTTCAAACAACCTGATTATTACATTAGCCTCCTAGCTGGGCCACCTGCTTCCGTCTTGACCTCCCTACAGGATATTCTTCATATAGCAACAAGAATAATCATTTAATATCAAAATTCAGATCAAGTCACTGCCAGCACAAAACCCTCTGTAGTGGAAAGACTCTAGGGTGATCCTTGCCCTTTGATATTCATGTCATTATGTAATCTCCTCCCTTTGAGTAGGTAGGAGCTATGACTTGCTTATAACCAATAGAAGATGGCAAGACTAGTATAATGTTATCTCTATAATTACATTATATAAGACTATCTCATCAGACTAGAGAGAGAGGCTCTCATTGTGGGCTTGATGCAGTTAGTGACCATGTAAAGAAGTCCACGTGACAAAGAGCTTCAACAGCATCTAGATACTGCAGGTGGCCTCTAGGACCTGAGGCAGCCTCCAGTTGACAGTCAGCAAACAGTTAGGACCCTCAATCATATAACTGCAAGGAAATAAATTCTTCCAGCAATATGAATGAGCATGGAAGTGGATTCATCCTCAGTCAAGCCTCCAGTTGAGAATGCAGGCTGGCTAGTTCATTGAATGAAGCCTTTTAAGACTTCAAAGCACAAAACAGACTCAAGCCATGCCCAGCGTCCTTACCCATAGAAACTATGAGATAATGTATGTGTTGTTTTAAGCTACTTAATTTGTGATAATGTATTACACAGCAATAGAAAACTAATATTTCCTCCAATGGCTTTCCGTCTTACTCAGAGTAAAATCTCAAGTTATTTCCACAATTTGGCCTATATCCAACTCTGACTCATCTTCCATTGTCTATATTTCTCACTTTGCTCTAGCTACAATGGCCTTTATGTTGCTCCTCAAATATGAAAAACTTGCCACTGGCTCAGGGATTTCAAACATTCTGCCTGAATATGCTGTTCCCCCAGATATCCTCCTTAGCTCACAACCCTCACCTTCTTTAGATCCTTAGTCAAAGATCATTTTGTTGCAGACACCTTCTCTGAAAAAAGTAAATCTTTTTCTTGCTCTTTCGCCCAGGCTGGAGTGCAGTGGCGCCATCTAGGCTCACTGCAAGCTCCGCCTCCCGGGTTCACGCCATTCTCCTGCCTCAGCCTCCCGAGTAGCTGGGACTACAGGTGCCCGCCACTGCGCCTGGCTAATTTTTTGTATTTTTAGTAGAGAGGGGTTTCACCGTGTTAGCCAGGATGGTCTGCATCTCCTGACCTCGTGATCCACCCGCCTCGGCCTCCCAAAATGCTGGGATTACAGTTGTGAGCCACCGCGCCCGGCCTGAAAAAAAGTAAATCTTATCCCCAACCAATATGCATTGCGAATGTCTGAATGCTGTATTGTCTCATTAGCACTCACATATCACTGCCTAATATGCATTTATTCATTTATTTATTGTATTTCTCTCTGTACCAGAATGTAAACCGTAAGGAGGTACAGACTTTGTTAACTGTTGTAAACTTATATATGGAAATCATTTGTTAAATAAACAAATGAATAAATGAATAGATAAGTTAATGAACAAATTAACAATCAAAATGAATACACTATGACACTGAAGAAATTAGAGGGAAGTTAACAGATACGAAGAGTAAAGAAAACAATTTAATATAGAGATATGTTTTATGTAACAGATGGAACAGAAAATGCATCCATGGCTATAATAGATGCTAACTTCCTGATTCCTTACGATCTAGGCAGGAAAAATAATAACTTTTCCACTCATGAGAAATAGGATGCCTTCATACCTGTTCATAGCAACTGCCAGAAGACAATGGAGCAATGAGTAAAATATTCTAAGAGAGAGTGTGACCTTAGAATTTTATACTCATCAAACTTTTCCTTTGAGACTGAGGCAGCTGACTTTATTAGGCACACAAAGTTATAAGAAATATAATTTTTACCCTAGCTTTATGAAAAGTAAAATCCTATGCTAATCAAGAAATGTATAAAATAAGGAACTCAAATAGAAATGTAATTCATGAATAACGGTTGGTAGGCATTCCATCAATTTAAATAATTTATTTAAATAACTATAGTAATTTGTGGGAAAATATAATTTGAATGTTTCAAACTTTGACAAAGAAAAATAATATAACCAACAAAACTGAAGGATGGTACACAAATGGCTGAAAGAAGTATTTCCTTACAATTAACATCAGGGAGAAAATTTATATTATCTCAACTTTAAGCATGAAATTGTTAAAAAATGACCCAAAAAACTTAATTAAACCTTCATAATAATTTTTCTAACCTTAGATCTTTTAGGCTTTTTTGTACACATTTTTTCTGTGGATGGTCAGATTGTAAATAGTTTAGGCTTTGCAGACCACATACAATCTCTGTTGCTTATTATTCTTTGTTTCTTTTACAACCCTTTAAAAATGTAAAAAAAAAAAAAAATCTTAGCCCTCAAGCTGCACAAAAACAGGCCATGAGCTGAATTTGGCCTGCTTGATGTAGTTTGTTGAGTCCTGGCTTACAATGATGTAACACTGAGCCAAAATTCCATTGTTTCTTCAGTTTCACTCTAGAATCTTTTGATTCTGTTAAATTTAAGTAAAACTAATTGTGGTATTTTGTATTTCTAAATTATATTATAATGTGTAGAACTTCCATTTCTGGCCAAGATGAAATAAGGGCTAAATTTTCCTTCCATCTGGAACAACTAAATAAATGAACCAAATATAAGAAACATTTCTGGACTTTGGAAATCACACAATGAAGGGTCAGTGATTCCTGAGACATATGACTCACACAAAATTAGCCTTACAATTGCCCCCAGCTTACTGCCTGGAGGGAATTTCTGGCAATGAAGGAAGCCAGGTGGAGCCAGGCAAGCTCCTTGAGTTGAAGGAGACCTGGTAATCTGGAGAGATCAGGAAGCAGAATATCAGAGTGGAGAGATTTTACGGAGAAAGAGGTCCAGAGATGTAAAAATGTACTCTAGAATCTTCAGCTAAATAATGATACATATAAGGAAGGAAACTACCCAAGACCAAGAACAGAACCACCCCAAAGTAGAAGAGGAAATTTAAACAAATTCACAAGAAAAAGAACAAACAAAAACCATCAAAAAGTGGGCAAAGGACATCAACAGACACTTCTCAAAAGAAGACATTTATACAGCCAACAAACATATGAAAAAAGCCCAACATCACTGATCATCAGAGAAATGCAAATTAAAACCACAGTGAAATACCATCTCACACCAGTCAGAATGGTGATTATTAAAAACTCAGGAAACAATAGATGCTGGCGAGGCTTTGGAGAAATAAGAATGCTTTTACACTGTTGGTGGGAATGTAAATTAGTTCACCCATTGGAAGACAGTATGGTGATTCCTCCAGGGTCTAGAACCAGAAATACCATTTGACCCAGCAATCCCATTACTGGGTATATACCCAAAAGAATATAAATCATTCTACTATAAAGACACATGCACACATATGTTTATCACAGCACTACTTACAACAGCAAAGACATGGAACCAACCCAAATGCCCATCAATGGTAGACTGGATAAAGAAAATGTAGTACATATACACCATGGAATACTAGGCAGCCATAAAAAGGAATGATATCATGTCCTTTGCAGGGACATGGATGAAGCTGGAAGCCATCATCCTCAGCAAACTAACACAGGAACGGAAAACCAAACACCGCATATTCTCACTCAAAAGTGGGAGTTGAACATTGAGAACATATGGACACAGAGAGAGGAACACATACTAGGGCCTGTTGGGGGATGGGGGTGGGAACTTAGAGGACAGGTCAATAGGTGCAGCAAACCACCACAGCATATGTATACCTATGTAACAAACCTGCACATTCTGCACATGTATCCTGGGTTTGTTTTTTTTTTTAGAAGAAATACAGGAATAAATAAAATAAAATAAAATACATCATTTTTCATAGAAATGGAAAAAATCCTAAAACTTATATAGAAACAAAAAATATCCTAAATATCCAAGCTGGAGGCATCACACTACCTGACTTCAAAATACATTACCAAGCTACAGTAACCAAAAGAGCATTGTATGTGTATAAAAGCAGACACATAGACCAATGGAACAGGATAGAGAACCTGAAAATAAATCCATGTATTTCCAGCTAACTGATTTTTTTTACAAAGATGCCAAGAACATCCATTGGGGAAAGAACATCCTCCTCAATAAATGATGCTATGAAAATTGGATATCCATATGCAGAAGAATGAATCTGGACTCTATTTCTCACCATATACAAAAATCAACCGAAGCTAGATTAAAGACTTAAACATAAGACCTGAAACTATAAAACTAGAAAAAAACAGGGAAAACACCTCAAAACATTGGTGTAGACAATGATTTTATGGCTAAGACCTCAAAAACACAGGCAACAAAATAAAAAGTAGACAAATGGGACTATATTAAAGTAAAAAGCTTCTGCACAGCAAAGGAAGCAATCAACAAAGAGACAACTAGCTGAATGGAAGAAAATATTTGCACACTATTTGTCTGACAAAATAATATTCAGAATATATAAGAAGCTCAAACACCTCACAGGAAAAAAACAAATAATCTCATTAAAAAGTTGGCAAAGGACGTGAATAGACATTTTTCAAAAGAACACATACAGGCCAGGCGCAGTGGGGCTCATGCCTGTAATTCCAACACTTTGGGAGGCCAAGGCGGGCAGATCACCTGAGGTCAGGAGTTCGAGACCAGCCTGGCCAACATGGTGAAACTCTGTCTCTACTAAAAATACAAAAATTAGCTGGGCATGGTGGCACAAGTCTGTAATCCCAGCTACTTGGAAGGCTAAGGCAGGAGGATCGCTTGAACCCAGGAGGCAGAGGTTGCAGTGAGCTGAGATTGCACCACTGGACTCCAGCCTGGGCGACAGAGCAAGACTCCATCTCAAAAAACAAAAAACAAAAACAACAAAAACATACAAATGACCAGAAGGTATGTGAGAAAATGCTCAAAATTATTAATCATCAGGGAAACATTAATCAAAACCACAACTGAATATCGTCTTACCCTAGTTAGAACGGCTACTGCATAAAAAGACACAAAATAACAGATGCTGGTGAGGGTGTGGAGAAAATGGAACTTTTATACACTGTTGGTGGGAATGTAAATGAGTACAGCCACTACGGAAAACAGTATGGAGATTGCTCAAAAAATTAAAAATAGAACTATCATACAATCCAGAAGTCCCATTACTCAATATTTATCCAAAGGAAATGAAGTAAGTATATCAAAGAAATACATGCATCCCCATGTTTATTGCAGCACTATTCACAATAACTAAGACAAAGAATCAACCTAAGTGTCCATCAGTGGATGAATGGATAAATAAAATGTGGTATATATACACAGCAGAATACTATTCACCTTAGAAAATAATAAAAGCCTGTCATTTGTAGCAACATAGATGGAACTGGAGGTCATTATGTTAAGTGAAATAAGTCAGGCACAGAAAGGCAAGTATCACATGTTCTCACTCCTATGTGGGAGCTAAATAAGTAAGTCTCATGGAGGTAGAGAGTAGAATGATGGATGGCAGAGGCTGGGAAGAATGTGCAGGTGGTAGAGGAGATGAAGAGAGGCTGGTTAATGGGTACAAACATGCAGCTAGATAGAAAGGGTAAGGTTTATTGTTCAACAGCAAAGTAGGGTGACTATAGTTAACAACAATGTATGGTATATTTCAAAATGGCTAGAAGAGAGGGCTTAAAATGTTCCCAACACATGGAAATGATACATACTCAGAGTGATGGATACCCTAAATACTCTGACTTGACCATTAGGTATTCTATGCACGCAACAAAATATCACATGGACCCCATAAATATTTAAAATATTATATATCAAAAGGACAGTGAAATAGCACAGTTCAGTAATTATAAATTCTATTCTGAGATAACCCAAGGATCAGGCCACACAGCAAGAAAAAACATACTGCCATTTGTACCCCCAATTCCTTCCAGTATCAATTTAATAAAGTATAGTGACTTGAGGTAAGTAATGCAGTCATTCCATTTTAATGGTCTTTAGCTTTTAAATTTATCATCTCAATATTAACATCCAGACAAATATTATGAATACATACACCTTAAGAGCCAGGTGCAGTGGCTCATGTCTGTCATCCAAGCACTTTGGAAGGCCAAGGTGGGTGTATCACTTGAGCTCAAGAGTTCAAGACCAGCTGAGCATGGTGTTGCACACCTGTGGTCCCAGATACTCAGGAGGCTAAGGAGTTGGGAGGATTGTTGAGCCCAGAAGGCAGAGGTTGCAATAAGCTGAGATCTCATCCCTACTAATAATACAAAAAAATTGCTGAGCATGGTGTTACACGCCTGTGGTCCCAGATACTCAGGAGGCTAAGGAGTTGGGAGGATTGTTGAGCCCAGGAGGCAGAGGTTGCAATGAGCTGAGATCACTCCACTGCACTCCAGCCTGGGTGACAGAGTGAGACCCTGTTTCAGGCAAAGGCAAAGGCAAAAAGGCAAAGACTTTTGCCTTTGCCAAAGCAAAAAGAAAAAGAAAAGAAAGGCAGAAGAGAAGATACTCAGAAACGAGTTTCCAAGACACAGATCTGTGTTGTACTTCTGATGCACATGCATTTCTCCTCAGTGGATCAGCTTCACCAGGAACTTCATCTGCAGCATCCTCACCATTAAAAAAAGAACAGCCCTTATTTACTCTATGGCAGGTTGGAATGATCTGTGAACATTAGTTGAAAGAACATGAAGAGAAAGTTTGGGAAGAACATGAAGAATATTGAACACAAAACTTGCAGAACAATAATGATGCATCTGTGAAATTTACACATGATCAAATAATGTGATGATATGGAGAAGAGCCTGCTAGTTATGTTTCATGAATCATGTATTCTGCATTTGCGAGCTGCCTTCTTCCTTGTTGAGTTGTTGCAAGAGGTCCCACTTATGACATGGAGCAATGCCAATACCCCTTCTGTGAATACAAGTTATTTCAAGCTTTCTTCAGTGGTAACCACTCTTAGGCAACAGCAACGGGTTTTGGAAATTTCCCTGATGTCAGTACCACCTGGATGTGGATGTTTGCTACCTGTATTAATACCAGTGGCCTCATTTTGTAAGTTATCATTACAATTTGGCTTCTTACATTAATGTTTTAAAACGATTAAAGCTGGTATTCTAGAACATGCCCTTCACTGGTTGTATAAAAAAACTGTAGAGTGACACTCAAATGAAGTTACTGTGATTTTAATTGTGCAATACAACCAAGCTGTAACCAGGTACTAATTTTAGAATATAATCCCAGGACAATATTAAGAAAATAGCCTGCAGTGCCTCCTGTGAAATAGCGACAGAGGAGGGCATTTTTGTATTCCAGGACTTCTTGGGGTTTCAGAATGGGTTTATATGATTTTTTTTTTGGTACTTTTATTTATTCTATCAGTCTTTTTAACAAATGTTTACTGCTGCATTTTTTTCCAGTGTATCATTGTTTTACTGCCCTTGTAGTACTGGAATTAGTTGGAAGAATAAAACATTTACTTCTAAAATAAAATAAAGAACTCTAAGAAAGAAAAGAACTCTCTTATACTCATATGTTGAGAAGCACTTACCTCATTTTAGAGCAAAGTTTATAGATAATCAGACCTTCAGTAATTAAAAAGTAAAGCAATATAAAGTGCAAGTAATTTTATTCAGGAGCCAAAAATTCCAATAAAAGGATTAATAGTGACATGTATGCTTCATATTTCATTAACATAAATCATTTTGGTAGATAACACATGTTTATTTGCCAAATTTTATTACTGTCTTTTATTGATTTTTATCTTTTTTATTGACTCTCATTATTTTTAACTAGAAACTTAAAAAATTATTATAGATGCATAATAGTTGTACACTTTGGGGGGGTACATGTAATATTTTGATATAAGCATATGTTGTGCAATGATCAAATCCAAGTAATTAGGAGAGCTATCTCCTCAAGGATTTGTCATTTCTTTTTGTTAGAAACATTTCAGTTCCACTCTTTTCATTATTTTGAAATATGCAAAAAAATGGTTAACTGTAGTTGCCCTATTGTGCTACCAAACATTAGATCATACTCCTTCCATCTAGCTGTATTTCTGTTCCCACTAACCATTCCCTCTTTATCTGCCTCCCCCTCCACTACCTTTTCCCAGCCTCCGGTAACTATCATTCTACTCTTACCTAGAAATTGTTTTTTAGTGTGCATTCTGCATGTATGCTATTGGATGGCTGAGAATTCTAAAAGGTTTATTGTGCATAAGTAACATAACCATACTTCATATAATGTCCTTATTTTATACCACAGGGATGTTTAGATGAAGAGCGTCTAATAGGATAAGCATCAAAGCTTCAGAATCCCGTATGATCAATTGCAAACAGTCATTATTGCAAACAGTACATATTTAAGCTATCACATTGGAATGCTAAATCTTAAACTCAACACAGAGATTAAATACCAGTAGAAAAAATAAATACTGGTTGAAAACTAAAATTGTTTTTTCAACACATGAAGAGCATATACACAATTGACATCAAGAGTAGGCTAACCAGAGACTAAACTGATGCAAATAGGATGGCAAGCAAAACTCAGCTTTCTGCCAAAAGCTTTCCCCAAGAGGTGAATAACATTTTCCATAAGTCTATGGAAATTGCAAAACTGGTTTGCTAAGGAAATACTCTTTGCCACTTTTTAATGTATGATTTAACATTTCTGTTCTCTACTGAATAGTATAGGTTATATTAATTACATCAGAGGGGAGCCCATATTTATATTCAACGAAAAGATTAACAGCATTTTAATTCACTAGAGAAAATTTTACCATATGTAAAAATGAAATATGCATTTTTAACTACTTTTGCTAGTGTAAGAACTATTTATACAGTGTAATTCTGCAAGATTAAAATGAAATATAACCAGCCTGGGCAACATAGTAAGACCCTGTCTCTACCAAAAATAAAAAAATATAAAATTTTCAGGCAGGAGCACTTTATACTATGTGATGTTAACTGTAAAGTATTATAATTTAAAGGGTCATGTTATTTTTACAAAGTTATATGTTTACACCAATTCATCACAGGAAAGTTAGACAGCCAGGGGGAAAATGTCTATTTTTTAAAATATTTTCTGTCCAGTCATTTCCAAAATGCATCATAGGTGACTTTCAAACAATAGAAAAATTTAACATGTAAGCAGTCTCTACTTTTGTCTTTGGCCCATCTTCATTTACCTTCTTTAGTATTCGACGTGTTTATAAACAGAAGCCATAATTAACTCCTATGCTTACTGTTTTCATTGTACTATATCATTTCCAGATATTAGAAAAGCAAACAATTAAACCAAGTGATGGAAAATACAAGTGATGCTGCAAAATTATAGTGAGTCAGGTAGTAATGCACCTGACTGATCTCCAAAGTGTTCAGAGGAACAAATGCTTTAAGAAGTTTTCAACCATAATGCAAAATCAGGTTCTACCGTAGACCCCACACATCTCAGCACGGGAACAATGTTCACATGCAGTAGCCTATCCTGAAAAGATACATAAATTGTCTATATCCTTGACTGGGCACCTGTGACTTTGGAAAATTAAATTTCACATTCATTATTTATGAAGTCAGCTCAAATCCCTTGATGGAATTTCAGCCTAATTAAAAAGTATTAAGAGAGGTTTGCAGCCCCTTGCTAGTTCTCATAAACACTCCACTGGTTTAAAAAGTAGATAGCTACCTTCTGCCTGAGGAAAACTAATGAATCCATGCATTTATACCCAAGATCTAGAGAAATTCAGATTTGTTTTTCTGTAATAGTCTTGAGTTCTAAGTGTTCAGGGTCAGAACCACCTCAAAATTCCTTCCATGCCAAAGGAGACAAGAGGCAGAAGATGAGATATTTTCTATTTTTACTCTTTACTTTTAGGCACCTCATTTTCCACCTTTTGTCAGTTCTTTTGCTTTACTACTCCTAGTGCCTCTCTCTTCTAATTGCACCAGCTTCTGACTATCTTTATCCTTTCCTGCTTCCTAAGAATACAATCAAGCAAAGCCAAAAACTGCTTTAAGCACAATTCATTTTAAGCATATATTATTTTAAATATGCATGTTATGAATTTGCTTTTAGTTTTTCTGCTTTTGCCAGAACACAAATTTGCCACAACAAAACTTCTACACATTCTGTTGTAATACATTCAGTTATGGTTTATGTTAATGGATTTTATACATTAGTCACTCAACAAGTATGCACTGGGTCTGTCCAGCATTCAGTCCATGATAGAATCTATAAAATATAAAGAGAGGGAAAAAAAACCTATAAGATACTTAAGACTGATTTTATTGCTTCTAAATTTCTTTAAAAATCAAAAAAAGGCAAAAGCATGAATATTTAAATAACAAGATGACATTCTAAATGCATGCTACTGCTCAGGCAGGAGGGCAGACTGAGCATGAATATTTACCTTTCTACCTCCTAAATCACACTAAAATGATTCTAAAAATGTAAAAACAGAATGCAATAGCAAAAAGTGAATGAGGTGTGGAAGCAGAGTGGCCAGAAAACTGTAATGAGTGTTCTACAGTGTTTAACAGGGTTTAGAGAAGATAGCATGCAGATGGGATTATTGCAGTGATGGAGAAGACAGAGCTTGTGGAGTGGCACATGAGGCCTGTACAGAAGATGGGTCTGTTGTGCCCAGGAAAGAACCCAGAAAGGATTTAACCACACAGGCTAGAAATGGGGCAGGAGTAGATTGTAGGGCAGTATTGAGGATATTTCATTAAAGTACTGACTACTGAACAGCTGGATAAATCCCTCCCACATTTTCACTTTCAGACAACTGGCAGAAATGCCATATGACACAGGAGGAAAAGAGCTCACCTCTAAATAATTTGAATAATTTTTCTGTGAAGTGCTACACTCCAAAGAAAACTACCAGCTTATCTGCCTATTACACAGTGTCCATATTAAATTCAAGCCTATTTACCACTGAATCAGTGAATGTGTTCACCCAAGTATATATAGTTTATGTTAAAATATCCCATTCAGGGGAAATAGATGAGTACAATGGTGAAGGAAAACTAGCCAGCGAGTTATGTTACTCAACCTTTCCCATTAACAAGGAACAGTAGACAACCATGAATCACCAGACATTTGAGGAAAATCAATAGCATAAGAGAAATTCCAAGAAATGGTGCATTCATATAATAATAAAAAAAGACTTCTGTGTTGTGGTGGTGGAGTGATTAGAAAATAGGAGCTTAAAGGAAATTGAAAATATAATTACTAAAATTAGAATTCAATACAAAAGCTGTAAGATAAAGTCAAGAAACTCACACAATAAAAAATAGTAAATTTAAAAGATAGATATAGATATTTCAGCTTTTGTTCTTTGGTAAATAATATTCAGAATATCATTTTTTAAAACTTTAAGACCTACAAAGAGGCAGGAAACTAATAATTAAGTGAACATATATTCAACAGAAGCAGATCACAGATTACCCTTTTACTGGAATTAGGAGACAAGGATTTTAAGACATCTATTATAATTACATTAAATAATTTATAGTAAAAGATACAATGGTTGAAAATATGGGGTATTCAGGAGATAAATGGAAACGCTAAAAAGAACTAAAGGGAAATTCTACAACTGAAAATTATATCTAAAATTTTTTAAAATTAGTTGAATGCTCTTAACTTCAGATTGCATACTGCAGAAGAAAAGAGTAGTGAACTCATAGAGGTCAGAAAAGTGATCATGTTTAAACAGGGCATAGATTAAAAAACAGATTAATAACTCCTCCACCCCTGGCAGCCATGGCTTGCTGTGGAGAGCACTTCTGTGTGCTGGGGGAAGGAGAGGACTGCAATTGTGAGGCATTTAACTCAGTGCTGTGCAGTCATAACAGAAAGGAAGACCAGACCAAACTCAGCTAACAGCCGCCGAAAGAGGGAGCATTTAAACCAGCCCTAGCCAGAGGGGAATCACTGATCCCAGTGGTCAGAACTGAGTTCCCACGAGCCTCACCACTGCAGGCTAAAGTGCACTGAGGCTCTAAATAAACTTCACAAGGCCACATTTAGGCAAGTCCTAGTGTTGAACTGGGCCCAGAGCCAATGGACTCACGGGACATGCAACCTAATGAGACAACAGCTAGGGTGGCTAAATAAGTGCTGGCATCTCCTCACCCTTAACCCCAGGCTGCAGAGCTCCTACCTCCAAAAGAGACCCCTTCCTTCTGCTTCTGGAGAAGAGAGGGAATAGTGAGGAGAACTTTGTCTTGCATCTTGGATAACAGCTCAGCAACAGCAGGATAAGGCACTGGTCAGAACTGTGAGACCCCCTTTCCAAGCCCTAGCTCCTGGATGACACTTCTAGAAACACCCTGGGCCAGAAGGGAACACACTGCCTTGAAGGAAAGGACTCAGTTCTGGCAGCATTTATCACCTGCTAACTGTAAGAGCCCTTTGGCACTGACTAACCAGCAGTTATACCCAGGAACTTCATTGAGGGTCTTGAGTGAGACTCTGAGACTTGCTGGCTCTAGGTGAGACTCAGAACATTGCCAGCTATGGTGGCCCTGGGGCGAGACTCCTTGTGCTTGAGAAAAGCAGAGGGAAAAGTAAGGGAGACTTTGTCTTTGGCCACAAGGGTAGAGTACCAAGTGGGGCCATGAGGTATCCAATTCCAGGACTTTACTCTTGGGAAGCATTTCTGGACCTGCCCTGGGGACAGAGGGGAGCCCACTCCCTTGAAGGGGTGAGATCCAAGACAGGCAGCATCACCACAAGCTGACTGAGGAGCCATTGGGCTATAAGAAAACATAAGCAGTAGTCTGGCAGTACTCCTCCTGTGCCTGAGGTGGTAGTGGTCACAGAGTGAGGCTCCTCTCCCTTCGGAAAGGGGAAGGAAGAATGGGAAGAACTGTGTCTCATGGTTTAAGTGCCAGCTCAGCCTCAGTACAGTAGAATACCAGGTAGACTTCTAAGGTTTTTGACTGTAATCCCTGGCTCCTGGACAGCACCTCTGTATCTGCCAGAAACCTGGGGAACCTGCTGCCCTGAAGGGAAGGACATAGGCCTAACTGGGTTTGCCACCTGCTGATTGTAGAGCCCCAGGCCTTTGAGTGAACATAGGCAGTAGCTAGGGAGTGATTACATCAGGCCTTGGGTGAGATGCAGCCTTTTGTTGGCTTCAGGTTTTACACAGTGCAGTCATAGTGGTGGTGGCCACAGGGGTTCTTGAGTCACTCCACCTCCAGCTTCAGATGGCTCAGAATACAGAAAGAGACTCCATTTGTTTGAGAGAAAGTAAGGGAAGAGGACAAGAATGTCTACCTGGTAATGCAAAAAATTCTCCCAGATCTTGTCCAAAACTATCAAGGCAGCACCTCTATGATTTTGCAAGAACCACAGTATTGCTGGACTTGGGGTTCCCCTAAAGCAAATACAGCTTAGATCACAACACCCAAGTCATTTCAAATATCTAGAAAGTCTTCTAAGAAGGATAAATACAAACAAGCCCAGACTGCAAAGACTACAATAAATACCTAACTCTTCAATGCTCAGACACAAAATAACACCTACGAAGTATCAAGACAATCCAGGAAAACATGATCTCACCAAATCAACTAAATAAGACACCAGGGGCCAATCCTGGAGAAACACAGATAGGTGACCTTTCAGACAGAGCATTCAAAATGGCTGTGTAGAGGAAACTCAAAGAAATTCAAGATAATACAGAGAAGGAATTCAGAATTCTATCAGATAAATTTAACAAAAAGATTTAAATAGTTAAAAAGAATCAAGTAGAAATTCTGGAGCTGAAAAAGGCATTTGGCATAATGAAGACTGCACCAGAGTTCTTTAGTAGCAGAACTGATCAAGCAGAAGAAAGAATTACTAAGCTTGAAGACAGGCTATTTTAAAATAACAGTCAAAGGAGACAATAGGAAAAAGAAGAAAAAATGAAGCATGCCTACAGGATCTAGAAAATAGCCTTAAAAGGGCAAATCTAAGAGTTCTTGGCCTTAAAGAGGAAGTAGAGAAAGAGATAGGGGTGGAAAGCTTATTCAAGGGGATAATAAGAGAATAATAGGATATCCAATATCCTACAGAGAGATATCAATATTCAAGTACAGAAAGGTTATAGAAAACCAAGCAAATTTAATACAAAGAAGACTACTTCAAGGCATTTAAGAATCAAACTCCCAAAATTAAGGATAAAGAAAGAACCCTAAAAGCAGCAAGAGAAAAGAAACAAATAACATATAATAGAGGTGTAATACGTCTAGCAGCAGACTTTTCAATGGAAACCTGACAGACTAGGAAATAGTGGCATGTCATATTTAAAATGCTG
Organism: Homo sapiens; assembly: GCF_000001405.40. Taxonomy (NCBI): domain Eukaryota; kingdom Metazoa; phylum Chordata; class Mammalia; order Primates; family Hominidae; genus Homo; species Homo sapiens. The sequence continues at coordinate 149,797,792 of NC_000004.12, forward strand.
AAGAAAAAAAAAAACTTTTTCTCTAGAATAGCATACTATGATAAAAAATATCCTTTAAACATGAAGGAGAAATAAAGACTTTCCCAGACAAACAAAAGCTGAGTGATTTCATCAACACCATACCTGTCCTACAGGAAATGCTAAAGAGAGTACTTCAATCAGAAAAAAAAAAGACATTAATGAGCAATAAATCATCATCTAAAGGTACAAAACTCACTGGTAATAGTAATTATACAGAAAAACACAGGATATTACAACACTGTAACTGTGGTGTGTAAACTACTTTTGTCATAAGTAGAAAAACTAGTAATGAACCAATCAAAAATAATAACTACAACAACTTTTCAAGACATAGATAGCACAATAAGATACAAATAGAAACAAGAAAAAAGTTAAAAAGTAGGGGGACAAAGTTAAGGCATAGTGTTTTTATTACTTTTCTTTTTGCTTGTTTTTGCAAACAGTGTTAGGTTGTTATCAGGTTTAAATAATGGGTTATAAAATAGTATTTGCAAGCCTCATGATAACCTCAGGCCAAAAAGCATACAATGAATACACAAAAAATATAAAGCAAGAAACTAAATTGTGTCACCAGAGAAAATCACCTTCACTAAAGAAAGACAAGAAGGAAAGCAAGAAGGAAGTAAAGACAGCAAAACATTCAGAAAATAAATTACAAAATGGCAGGAGTAAGTCCTTACTTGTCAATAATATGTTTGAAGGTAAATGGACTAAACTCTCCAATCAAAAGACAGAGAGTAGTTGAATGAATGAAAAAATAAGACCCATTATCTGTTGCCTACAAGAAACACACTTCACCTGTAAAAACACACATAGACTGAAAATAAAGGGATGGAAAAAGATAGTCCATTCCAATAGATATCAAAAAAGAGCAGGAGTCACTATACTTATATCAGACAAAATAAATTTCAAGACAAAACCATAAGAGACAAAAAAGTTCACTATATAACGATGAAGGTGTCAATTCAGCAAGAGGGTGCATATATATGTATCTAATACTTTAGCATTTAGATATAGAAAGCAAATATTATTGGAGCTGGAGAGAGAGATGGGTCCCAATACAATAAGAGGTGGAGACTTCAACACTCCACGTTAAGCATTGGACAGACTATCCACACAGGAAATCAAAAAGGAAACATTGGACTTAATTTGCACTATACACCAATTGGATCTAATAGATATTTACAGAATATTTCATCCAAGAGCTGCAAGATATGCATCCTTTATTTTTTTTTTTTCACTCAGCACATGGATTACTCTCAAGGACAGACCATGTGTTAGATCACAAAACAAGGCTTAACACATTCAAAAAATTAAAATAATATCAAGCATCTTCTCTATCCACAATGGAAAAAAACTAGAAATCAATAAAAAGAGGAATTTTGGAAACTATACAAATACATGGAAATTAAACAATATGCTCCTGAAAGACCAGTGGGTCAATGAAGAAATTAATAAGGAAATTGAAAAAGGTCTTGAAAAAATAAAAATGGAAACACAACATACCAAAACCCATGGGATACAGCAGAAAAGTACTAAAAGGAAAGTTTATAGCTATATGTGCCTGCATCAAAAAGAAGAAAAACTTCAGATAATCTAATGATGCATCTAAAAGAACTAGAAAAGCTACAGCAAACAAAACCCAAAATTAGTAGAAGAAAAAAAATAAAGATTAGAGCAGAAATAAATTAAATTCTAATGAACAAAACAATACAAAAGATCAATGAGACAAAAAGTTGGTTTTTTAAAAGTTAAACTAAAATGACCAACCTTTAGCTAGACTAAGAAAAAAAGAAAGAAGATAGAAGTAAAATCGGAGATGAGAAAGGAGACATTACAACTGATACTGCAGAAGTTCAAAGGATCATCAGTGGCTACTATGAGCAACTACATGCCAATAAATTGAAAAATCTAGAAGAAATGGACAGATTCCAAGACACATAAAACCTACTAAGAATGAATCAAGAGGAAATCCAAAACCTGATCAGATGAGTAGTAAGTAACAAGGTTGAAGCTGTAATAAAAAGTCTACCAGTAAAAAAACAAAAAAACAAAAAAACAAAAAAAAACCCAGGACCTGATGGCTTCACTGATGAATCCTACCAAACATATAAATAACTAATAGCAATTCCATTCAAACTATTCTAAAAAATAGAGAAGGAGGGAATACTTCCAAACTCATTCCACAATCTAGTAATACCCTGATACCAAAACCAGACAAAGATACCAAAAAAGGAAAACTACAGGCAAATATCTCTGCTGCATATTGATGAAAAAATCCTCAACAAAATACTAGCAAACCAAATTCAGCAATACTTTAAAAAGATCACTCATCATGACCAAGTGGAATGTATCCCTGGGATGCATAGATGATTTAACATATGGAAATCAATCAATGTGATACATCATATCAACAGAATAATGAATAAAAACCAAATGATCATTTCAATTAACACCTAAAAAAGTATTTAATAAAACTCAACATTACTTCATAAATAAAAGCCTGCAAAAAATGTGTATAGAAGGAACATATCTCAACATAATAAAAGCCATATATGACAGACTCACAGCTAGAATCATACAGAGTGGGGAAAAACTGAAACCCTTTCCTCTAAAATCTGGAACACAAGAATGCCTACTTTCACCACTGTTATTCAGCTTAGTACTGGAAGTCCTAGCTAGAGCAATCAGACAAGAGAAAGAAATAAAGGGCATCCAAACTGGAAAGGAAAAAGTCAAATTATCTTTGTTTGCAGATGATATAACCTTATATTTGGAAAAACCTAAAGACTCCACTGAAAAACTATTCGAACTGAAAAAAATTTCAGTAAATTTGCAGCATATAAAGTCAACACAGAAAAAGTAGTAGCATTTCTATATGCCAACAGAGAGCAATATGAAAAATGGATCAAAAAGTAACCTCATTTAAAATAGCCACACATAAATTTACCTAGGAATTAATCAAAGAAGTGAAAGATCTCTATAATGAAAACTATAAAACACTAATGAGAGAATTGAAAAGGACACCAAAAACAGAAAGATATTCCATGTTTATGGATTGGAAGAGTCAATATTGTTAAAAAGTCCATACTTCCCAAAGCACTCACAAATTCAATGCAATCCCTATCAAAATACCAATGACATTCTTCACAGAAATAGAAAAAAAATTCTAAAATTGATATGGAATCACAAAAGACTCCGAATAGCCAAAGTTATCCTTTGGGCATTTTTGGGGCAAAATATTTGGGGGCAAAGTTTTTGGGCAAAATGAATAGACATCTCTCAAAAGTGGACATACAAATGACAAACAGGCATATGAAAGGGTGCTTAACATCATGGATCATCAGAGAAATGCAAATCAAAACTACAATGAGATCATCTCACCCCAACAAATATGGCTTATATTCAAAAGACAGGCAATAACAAATTCTGGTGAGGTTGTGGAAAAAAAACAAGAACCCTCGTACACTGTTGGTGGGAATGTAAAATTAGTACAACCACTAAGGAGAACAGTTTGGAGGTTCCTCAAAAACACTAAAAAATGAGCTATCACATGATCCAGCAATCCCACTGCTGGGTATATGCTCAAAAGAAAGGAGATCCGTATATCAAAGAGATATCTGCACTCCCATGTTTGTTGCAGCTCTGTTCACAATAGCCAAGATTTGGAAGCAACTTAAGTATCTATCAACAGTTGAATGGATAAAGAACATATGGTACTTATACACAATGGAGTACTATTCATCCATAAAAAAATGAGATCCTGTTATTTGCAACAACGTGGATGCAGCTGGAGATCATTATGTTAAATGAAATAAGCCAGGGACAGAAACACAAACATCACATGTTTTCACTTATTTGTGGTATCTAAAAATCAAAACAATTGAACCCACGGACATAGAGAGTAGAAGGATGATTACCAGAGGCTAAGAAGAGTAGTGGAGGACTGGAGGGAAGGTGAGGATGATTAATGGGTACCAAAAAAAATAGAAAGAATAAATAAGACCTGCTGTTTGATAGCACAACAGGGTGACTATAGTCAAAAATAATTATACATTTTCAAATAACTAAACTAGTATAATTGGATTGTTTGTAACACCAAAGACAAATGCTTGAGGGGATGGATACCCCATTCTCCATGATGTAATTATTATGCATTGCATGCCTGTTTCAAAACATCTCATGTACCCTATTAATATATATATATCTACTATGTAGCCACAAAAAATTAAAAGAATAGAAATATAAAACAAAAAAGAAGTATGGCTTATACAGTTTGATAAGTTAAATTAGGCCAAATTTTAAAGGATTTAAGTGGCAGCCAATATGTAAAAGTCATGTTTCCCAAAGTATGCTTCATGCAAAACTAGTCCCCTAGGATGAGCCTTTTAAAAATGTTCTGCAGTCAAATGTGAAAGAGGGAAAAAAAAAAAACTTTTCATCTGACGAATGTAAGCCCCTTAAAATTATCAGGCCAACAGAAGCATTTAAAATGTGACAGCAGTCACATCTCACTTCACCTCGAGCTAAATATTACCTCTCGTAGTCACTGGCTGTGTTGGCTCTTGACTGACTGACACCAAGTAGCCATAAAAATTCCACAGGCTAGACACCATAACTCATAACCTATAGTTCAGTGATGTACAGCCAATCACTACCAATGTTGTTTCTGTTAACTGATGAGAATTCCTGTCAAACAACTTGTATTGGCCCACTTTTTGCTCCCTTTGCCCTTGAAAACCTGCTTGTAACAAAAGCTAATGGAGCATTCTCCAAGGCAACATAAAAGTATGTCCTGGGAAGCTTTCCTAACTTTGGCTCAAGTAAACTCTAAATTATATTTTGTACCTCAGCTTCTTTCTTTTAGGATGACAAATGTATTTGAGAAATGCTTCATATTAATTCCCCTTCTCTAAAATACATAACATTTTCAAGGTTATATAGTAAAGAGACTTTTAAAAATTCTTTATGTAGTCAGATATTTCCTAAAAGTTCTTTATTGTGGAGCATGTTTCTGGTAATTCTTAACACCCCTAGAATCTTGTGTTCTACAGAAGACACTCGGAAAAATGCTGCTCTACATATGACAACAATGACAATACTTTCTAATGTTCTATGTTTGGAGGTCAGGAACAATCCTAAAAATTTAATATATATGATCTCATTTCATCATCACATCAACTTCATGAGTTAGACTCTATGATTAGCCCAATTTTATAAGGTAACTGATCCTCAGACAGATGCAGTAACTTGCCCATGATCCATGTGCTAGTAAACAATGGAACTGAGGTTTATACCCAAGCCTTCTAGTTCCAGAGCCTGCATATACTCTTGAATATTTGGTATGGAACGTCATTAAAGCTTTCTGAGACATAGATCGTGTTCAAGAAAAAAATCCTTCCATAATCTTGATTTTGTCTATTTCCCTTCCTATATCATGTTATGTGCCATCATAAGGACAATTCCCATGTAATATATTATATAATGGGAAATTTAATATTTCCACCATATGCATATTACAACATTTGTAATTGTCCCACAGTTCTTACTCTGCTCCTTTTTCATTTATTCTTTTTTCTCTTTGAGAGAAGGTTGGAAGTTTCTATTGACATTTATTCAACCTCATTGAGCCTTTCTTTGACCATCTTCAGCCTACTAATAAGCATGTCAAAGGCATTCTTCATTTCTCACATTTCCTTTGATTTCCAATCTGATAATTCAAAAATTTCTGGTACAGTTGAGTCTGATTCTGATGTTTGTCTCGTCTCTTCAGAGTGTGCTTTTCGCCTTCTAGAATGCCTCATTTTTTTTAAAGCTGGACAGTTGCATGAAAAGGAACTGGGGTAAATACACCTTTAGTGTGGAGTTTTATGTTTATCTGGCTAGAAGTTTATCTGTGTCTATATTTGCTTCTCTTATAGGTGTCAACATTTTTGCTAGTGTTTTTGTTTTTTCTCCTCAGTCATCTCTGGGTTTCCCTACAGACTATTTCTTAAATAGGGTCTGAGATGTGCAGTTCTTTGAGTTATAATTTTCTGTTATTGTATAAGGGCCCTATTGATGTGGTGGTAAGATGAGAGAGGAAATGTTCTATAATCTTCTGAGGGTCTCAGTCTTTTAATGAGCCTCTGCCCTTGGGTTGTGATCTTCAAAAGTGCTTCTTAGCTTCTCCCTCCTCCCCTTAGGTGATACAAGATGGCTGGAGGGGGCTGGCACTAGATATTTTCCTTCCCCACATGGAAGGCTATAGGAGGCTGGAGTTGAGTATTTCCCTTTCCTCAAGTTGGTTAGGCTTTTGTAAAACCCAAGGAGATTTGGCTCTGGTAAGATAGTTTTCCTTGAGGGCAGGTCATTATTAAGGAGAAGAGAGCACTGTGGGCTTATTTCAAAACAGTTACTTTCTCCCTCACCCTGACAGAAGCACAAGAGGATTTTTCTTTAATCTTCACCATGACAACCTAGTAGAGCTCCTGGACACAAAATTTACAAAGTATGGGGGCCTTCCTTAAGCTAGGACCCTGGGAATTTTTATTTCTCAAGAAAGTCCACACTCAGTCTTCAGTAGTCAATTACCCTTTAAGTGTCCCTTCCAGGTTCTAGCAGCAGTTTCCACTGCCAATGAGCTGTGATTCTCTGTATCTGCCTGTCTCTCCAGTTTACAGAGTGACAGACTGCCCTGTGACCTCAACTGTCTAAAGAATCTAAGAAGAGTTGTTGACTTTCAGTTTGTTCAGCTTTTTTCTTGTTGTGAAGACAGAAGTGTTGACTTCCAAGCTGACATGTCAGACCAGAAACTGGAAGTTTTGCCTATTTAATTTTTGCCCTGTATGTTTATCCCTTTTTTAGAAAAGAAGTATTGTTATTAATAGTTGCATTAAAATAATCCAGATGGGCTTGGTAGACCTCCACTTTTTAATTCTAACTTCTATCGTGGTCTTTTCTAGTAACATGTGAGATAAACAGTTGTGCAGTGGGCAGATTTCTCACTTTAATACATGATTAAATTTGAAAGATATTTAGTGTATTTCCCTCTTTTCCACGGACACTTTCTGGATACAGTATAAGTAGCACATCCCTTTCAAGAATAGCATCTAGGGCATTTACTAGTAAAATGAAGTGCACGAAGTAGGATGCAACCTGCTGGGAACATATAACTGCCTCTAATCTTGAATGATGATGGGAGAAGTATTCACATTGCTGCCCTGTTGGCCACTTAAAGGAAAAGCCAGTTGTGAAGTGTTCTATCCTTAGGTTTGTACCATTCATAAAGCTGTCAAGCCACCAGTAATGAGCAGTAAGAAATATGAGAAATTATAGGCTAGAGTTGCATGAATATGTGTAAGAAATTTTAATCTGCTCTTGAGCATATAGAGAATAGTATGAGTACTCTTGCTATGTAGTTTTTAAATTTTATTCTATACTGTATATCTACAGTGATTCATTCATTTTATTTCTTGGAAATGCTTTTCTGTTTGTTTTTAAATAAATCCTTTATTGGGAAATTAGCTCAAAAAGGTACATGTTAAATAAAAAATGAGCAATGAATTTTCTTTTCTCTAGAGAGTTCATAATAAATGTGTAACTGACACAAAGTGTTTTTCGACATTTTCCATCCTTTGGGATGGTCATTTCTAGCCACATGAAACCAAGAGGAACAAACATCCTGAAGAAATATCAGCATCTGTTTTAAAATTATCTTAAAATTTAACATGTAGCTGCAGAAGATATTTTTATGTGTCACTCTGTGAAACATGACCTTTCATTTAGATCAGATAAGGCTTTTAAAACAACTTTGTATATTTTTAATTCTAAATTTTTTCATTACACAAATAAAAAGTGAAGTAATAGCTGTTGAAATGTTGGCTCCATTAGCATAAAAAGAATTTGCAAATGGTTAAATATTTCCAATTTCATATCAATGTCATCAGTTGCTTTGAAGGAAAAAAACAGTTAATTCCAATAGTGTTTGATTTTTATTTTTCATCTAATTCTTGGACTGAAATTAAAGCTTCTGGGTCTTTAGTCTGTCAAAATTAAACATCAGATAGTATTGTGAATATGCATGTAACATCAGCTTAAAAATTCAATGTTGAAGATTAAATTATTTGTTTTTTGATGTTAATATGAATTTTGGTAGTGCACAATGACAAGTTACGATGGCTTTGCTAAATTAATAAAGCTTGGAGAAATATAATTGGAGTTGGTTTTGGTACACACATAATATATACATTCACATCCAAAATGAGCTATGATATTCTGCCAAATGAAATAGAAACTTTGATTGTCAAAATATGCAAAGAATTATATATAGAAATATTAAATATATTAATTTAAAAGAATTTTTGTAAAAAGCTGTTAATTTTTATGTACATGCTTTAGCATGGTATTATGTGTTTTCTTTCTTTGCAGCTCAAATGGATTATTTTTCCAGGATATTATTTATTTAATTTAGTTTAGTTATTTTTTAAGGAGGTATATCGGTCACCTCAAAGATTTATCTTATTTTACGTGTCAAGAACATTACACTTATTCTATTTTGGCTAATTTGAAATATACAATAACTTGTTGCTAACTCTAATTTCTCTACTGTATTATCAAATACCAGAACTTATTTCTCCTATGTAACTGTATTTTTGTACCCATTAACCAATCTCCCTTCATCCTTCTTCCCTTCTTCTCTTTCCAGTCTTTGGTAACCAGCATTCTGCTGTCTACCTTCATGAGATACATTTGTTTTAGCCCCTACATATGAGTAGGAACAGGTGATATTTGTCTTTCTATGCCTAGAAATTGAGAAATGGTAATGAACTTTTATAAGTAAGTCCCTGGTTACATTTTATTAAATAATAGCTGGAAATTTTTAATAAAAGTCATCAGTAAATAAAGGATCAAAAATCTTATGACCTTGAAGCTTTTCACAAATTGCAATTTTTGAAAACAAGCTTGTAAACAGAAAAATCTATACATGTATCACAGCAAAAGCAAAGGAAGGATAAACAAATCAAACTATGAGAGCTTAAAAAACATACATGATTTAATTTTGAAAATGTATATTTGACACTGACAGTGATCGATCTTACAAAAAAATCAAGAAAACAATCCCATTTACAATAGCTACAAAACAGGAATAAATTAAATCAAAGAGGTGAAAAATCTCTAAAAGAAAACCTACAAAACACTGATAAAATAAATTGAAGAGGACACAAAAAAATGGAAATATATTTCACACTCATGGACTAGAAGAATGAATATTATTAAAATCTCTATACTATCCAAAACAATCTACATATCCAACACAATCCCTATCAAAATACCAAAGACATTCTTACAGAAATAGAAAAAAAATCCTAAAACTCATAGGGAATCATGAAAGACCCCAAATAGCTAGAGCAATCCTAAGCAAAAAAAGCAAGGCTAGAAATATCACACTACCTAATTTCAAATTATTCTAAAAAAGCTACGGTAATCAAAACACCATGGTACTGACATAAAACTCCAAGAACATACACTGGGGGAAGGGATAGACTCTTTTTAAATAAATTGTGCTGGGAAAACTAGATATCCATATGTAGAAGAATTAAGCTAGATACTCATCTTTTGCCATATATAAAAATCAACTGAAAATGGATTAAAGACTTAAATGTAAGAACTGAAACTAGAAACTATGAGAAGATATTGAGGAAATGCTACAGGACATCAGTCTGGGCAAAGTTTTTTTTGGAAGGTAAGATCTCAAAAGCACAGGCAATCACAGCAAAAATAGACAAAAGAGATTACATCAAGCTAAAAGGTTTCTGCACGCAAAGGAAACAATCAACAAAGTGAAGAGACAACCCATAGAATGGGAGAAAATATTTGCAAACTACCCATCTGACAAGGAATTAATAGCCAGAATATATAAGGGAAAAAAAATTAATAGCAAAAAGAACAAATAATCCAATTTTAAAAGTGGTCAAAAGACCTGAATAGACACATCTTAAAAGATGACACACAAATGGCCAACAGGTATATGAAAAAATGTTCAGCATCACTAATCACCAGGAAGATGCATGTCAAAACCACCTCACCCCAGTTAGAATACTATTATTAAAAAGACAAAAAATAACAAACGCTGGTGATGACGTGGAGAAAAGCTACCACTTTTACACTATCAATAGGAAAGTAAATTAGTATAGTCACTGTGAAGAATGGTATGGAAGTTTCTCAAAAAACTAAAAATAGAACTACCATATGATCCAGCAATTCCACTGCTGAGCATATTTCCAAAAGAAAGGAAATTGGTATATTTAAGAGATATCTGCAAGCCTATGTTCATTGCACCACTATTCACAATGGCAAGATATGGAATCAACCTAAGTGCTCATCAGTGGATAAAAGGATAAAATGTAGTATAGATGCACAATGCAATATTATTCATCCATAAAAATAATGAAATCCTGTCATTTGCAGCAACGTGGATGGAAATGGAGGTCATTATGTTAAGTGAAATAAGCCAGTCAGAAAGACAAATATTGCATGTTCTCACTCATATGAGGGAGCTAAAAGTGTGTCTCATGGAGATAGAGAATAGAATAGTGGTTACTAGAAGAGACAGAAGGGATGAAGAAAAGTTGGCTAATGAGTACAAAAATACAGTTACATAGCAATAAGTTCTAATATTTGATAGTGCAGTAAAGAAATTATAGTTAATAATTTATCATAATTTATCATAGTTTTCAAAATATCTAGAAGAGAATAATTATAATGTTCTTAACACAAAAAGGTAGATGTTTGAGGTGTTGGATATCTCAATTACCTTGATTTGATCATTACACATTGTATACGTGTATCAAAATACCACATGTATCCCCAAAATATGTACAATGTATCATAAAAAATCAAATAAAGAAAATCTATATTTGTGCTTCAAGTTTCTCAACTTGGGAGAGGAATCTTGATGAAGTGCTTATTTTTAAGTTGATAAATATATATCCTCTATCAGAATGTAATGAAATTTAGAAGGGTATGACTGTAGTATCTAAGTTTTGTGAAATATTCATAGAAATTATAAATAGAAACAAATTTGATGAGTTGTCTTGTAAGATAATTTTTTGAAGAAAGTTACTCTAAATGGAAGTAAAAAGGTAGCAAACACTTTTGAAGATGTTTGGTTTGGAATATTTACACATTTTAATATTTTGAAAAAATAAGAACTAAGGATATCCTTCATTTAATATTTGTCCTGAACTTACCAGGCACCTCAGCACCTGCAGAGAGTGTTTTCTCAGTTAAAAATAGTGTGGTCTTAGACAAGATTCATTGAAGGTATCAACAAGTTCAATTTTATGAAAAACCCAGCTACCCGGGAGGCTGAGGCAGGGGAATCGCTTGAACCTGGGAGGTAGAGGGTGCAGTGAGCCGAGATCACACCACTGCACTCCAGCCTGGAGACAGAATGAGACTGTCTCAAAAAGAAAAAAAAAACAGTTGAAAAATACGATTTTCAGACAAATACTGGTGTCACTATAATAAAAACAGATAGGCTAAGAACAATCTTACAGTATACAAATACTTCCCAAAAATGGCTATTCCGCTTATAGTCATTTTTTTGATAGTCAGATAACCAAGTGGGTTTTTTGTTTGTTTAGCTTTAATGTATACGGACATATTTATTTTAATTGACTTAAAGATTTTTATTTTTGAAAATAGTATTTGAATAGGAGTATTTTATAGTTTGAGACCAGAAAATAATTGAATTGCCAATAAAATAAGAAATCTTACCCAGTATCAAACTTTAGTAATTTCAAAACATAAAAGTAAGCTTGATACACAGGCAACACCTAAAGAAGTCTGAGGGCAACAATACAACTCCTCGACTGATCCTTGCCACATTAGGATGTGCTCTGGTCCACATCTAACTCATGTAATCACCAAATGATGCATGAGAGGCATTACTTACGGAGTGGGAGCTATTTTGATCATAAAGCATCTCCATTTCATATTCTGATAATTACCTAAAACTGACATTGACAATTTCAAACAGGATATGCACCAGAAATCTTTCAATCCTATTGTTTACCATAAGCAACCCAGATAGATCAGATATTTTCTGCTGAAAATATTCCACAGACAAGTACTCTCAGTTATCTCTTTTCCTTAATAAATACCGAGTGTCTGATTAGCACATTTCCAGGTTTCTTTCCTCTCTCTCTCTCTGTAGATATACAGATATATATCTTATCTCCAACTCCTCCCTCGGTCATAGATCAGCTGCTTTTTCCTCCCCACAGGTATTACAATGTTAGAGTACGGGCTGGACATGGTGGCTCACACCGGTAATCCTAGCGCTTTGGGAGGCCAAGGTGGGTGGAACACTTGAGTCCAGGAGTTCGAGACCAGCCTGGGCAACATGATGAAACCCATCATGGGGCACAGTGGCACATGCCTGTAATTCCAGCTACTTGGGAGGCTGAGGCAGGAGGATTGTTTGGGCCCAGGATGCAGAGGTTGTGGTAAGCCATGATTGCGCCATTACACTCCAGCCTGGATGACCGAGCAAGACACCATCTCCAAAAAAAAAAAAAAAAAAGAAAAGTTGGAGTGCTTATACCAAGATAATAAACCTATTAATAGAGGGATACATATTATTTCAAAAACATATAATTTTTTTTTCTTTGAGACAGAGTCTTGCTCTGTCACCCAGGCTGGAGTACAATGGTGCAATCTTGGCTCACTGCAACCTCTGCCTCCCAGGTTCAAGCGATTCTCCTGCCTCAGCCTCCTGAGCAGCTGGGATTAAAGGCACGTGCCACCACGCCCGGCTAAGTTTTGTATTTTTTTAGTAGAGACGGGGTTTCACCATGTTGGTCAGGCTGGTCTCAAACCCCTAACCTCGTGATCTGCCCACCTCAGCCTCCCAAATTGCTGGGATTACAGGCGTGAGCCACCATGCCCAGCCCAAAACATATAATTTTAATTATTTTGAACATCACCTTTCACTCTCAAAACCGTCTGGATTTGGATTGGGTGATAAATCATGTGATCACCCTAGCTATTATATTTGAATTTATATAACCCGCCAAACTTTGCCAAGTTTGTATGAATGATATTTCATTCCTCCTATGTAACATATCTGCCAATTAAACACTCGAAGTAGTAGGTGGTGCCTGAACCCTGCTATAGCTGTCAGTTTCCCATTGGTGTGATTAACCAAGATTGGTTAGATTTCTTAGCTTGCTTTTCTACTCATAGATACTGTTCTATAAGAAGAACAAGCCTAAAAATTTCTAAAATAAGTGGATTATATTTCAAAGTCTTTACAATTTAGAGCAAGCCTTTAAAAAGAGGCACCTGCTTGAACTGAAATATCTTTCAAGTCTACCAAGGACACAACTACATTGCATTATCCCTGCCATGTACCAAAAGCACATGAAAAAAATTCATCTTTGATAGAAATCTGGTGATTTCTTTCCATCAACAGAGTTTCCAAATTATTTAACTGAGTAATTCTGGGCTTTTCTCCTTGCTTTGGATAATAATTAATCCATAACCATGTTTAATGAATAACATATACATAGTACTGTATGTTTGTGGCATCATTCTAATACAGCTTATCTACATTCTTTTTCCCAAAATATCAAGATATATATTAAAACAAAAAACAAATTCAAAAAAGAAATACAAAACCATTTCAGCACAGTACCCAACAATATTAACGTAAAAGCTTTTATGATAGTGAATGGACTGATCCACAATATGTCAAAGTTTATCTTTGGCATTTCCCTGCTTCTCTTTCTCTTTTCCTCTCTTAGCTCCTGTCTCCTCTGCCCCACTCCCAGGTATCCAGGGTCCTCATTCTGCCTTTTGGATGACAATAGTGAACCCACTTCAGTGCTCTCAGCTCAGGCTTGCCTTATACTGAACAATCCCGAGGACTAAATTATTTCCTTTTTCTCTCTTCCTGGGCTCCATCAAAATGTCCATAACTACAGAAAAGCAATTTAATTAAACTAAGCCACACTGGACTGTGAATAATTGATTAACAGACTACTTAACCCTCCCTGGGATATTTTTCTTTTAAAAGAGGACACTGTAATCTGAGTGACTCTGTAACATGCAGAATTTCAAACAGTTCAAAAAAGTAAAGAGAAATATATAGGCTTCATTCAGGGAGATATGTTTTGATAGAAGGGCCTTCTAAGAGTTCCTTAAATTATCCATGTTGGTGGCCACATACTCAGCCTCCATTCCTAACTAGGAGAATAAAGCATTGACTGAAATGCCCTTTTCCAGTTTTATAAGTGAGCAGCAAAGTACTCTCAAAGGAAGGCATTTGACTTTGAAACAGACTTCAGAAGTCAAAGTATGGTTTATTACTCCTTTGGGTGAACTGAGAAATACAAATGCTTCTTTTAATTTGGAGCCATATTCCTAAGAGTCATCCTTAAACACCAAATATCACTATGACAAAGGGCAAATCCTTTGTTGTGGAAGTGACCCTTTTTAGATTAGTTACATGTTTTTTAACTTTTAATTGGAGGATGGGAATGAGCACCAGAAATATATGATATAGCTCTGTATATTGTGAAGATGCAAATAACAATATACTGGAAAAGAAACCTCATGCTAAATTTCTTCCTTTCATTTTATCCATTCTACCTTCTAGATCTCTCTCTCTCTCTCTCTCTCTCACACACACACACACACACACAGACACACACACACACACACACACACACTATCCTTTGAGGATAGTAAAATCCACTATTCCTCAAACAGTATTTACAGAGTATTCTCTTAAAATTTAGCTATTATCTAAAATTTTGGAATAACATTCATAATTACAATGCTATCATATCATTATTGTTAATAAATTAGGTTTGACGTGATTAGGACTACCTTTTTGCTTTGATTGACAGTGTACTTTATTTCTGCCCTTATACCAGGTATAAAATGCAAAGAGAAGGAACTACTTACTCTCGGCCTTCAGTTTCACTGACATAAATTGAAGCTGAACCTCTGCTCTGGCTAATTGTGTATTTTGCCCTCCCCTACACCCAGGTGACAATGCAGACCTCTCTGGTCATGATAAAAGCCTCTAGCATTTTACTTTGTTGTAATAGTTTTAAAAATCAACAACTTAATCCTGGTTATCAGTCAGCTACATTAATATCTCAGAGTTAATGAGCATCTTTTTGCAGAAATGTCAGGCTATATTTAAACCTCGGTGAACTTTTTCATTGCATTAAAATATTACATTTTGTCTTAATATTCAAAATTCACATGATGGGGCTGGATTAAGGGTTACTTCACAAAAAAAGCATTCTTAGTCCTGGCATCCCCCAAACAAGAAAATTTTTATTATTTTTTTCTTTCCACTCAAAAAATAAATCCTTCTCAGCTAAGTAAATTTTCTACACCAGACCCTGCTGTACTATTAGCTTCAGATCTATCGTCTGAAAGAGGTTGTCAGTTTCCCACTCAAAGGTACATCTTGAATAGGGTGTTCTAGGGTAATATAAAATATTGAACAAATGTATCTAATGCATCTTTTTTTTAAAAGACATGAACCCACAAGAATGGGAAGAACAGGACAGGAGACAATGGCAATGAAATTTTTAAAGCTGAGAAGCAGGTGGACAAGAAGTAATTGAAGTACTACACCCAAGAAAGCTCAATCTTAAGTCAGTGACAGGAAAAGCCAAGAATTAACTAGTTACACAACAGATACCCCCAAATGCTCAGCAACTAGCAGTACCAATTTCTCTAAAACTGGGAATTAAAAATGGGTAGGCAGATAGAAACCTAAAATAAGGAGACTGGATAAAAGCTATCTGAGAAGTAATTAGATACCTATATGTCTTCCCCTACTCCACTTTAGTTACTTAAGTTACTAGAATCTTGTTTGAATCTAAGCATCTTTATATTGAGCTAGAACAAACTGATTCATCTCCAGATAAGGAATACCTTTAAAGAATTCATTTATTGGCTAGTCCTCAATAATATCCCCCTCTCTTCAGAAAAATAGAGACCAACAGGTGCCAAAATTATTATTCCAGAGTCCTTAGCACAGAGTGCCACTTGGATTTTCTCACAAGCTGATAAAGTGCAAAACCTGCTCTGACCCATTTAGAACTCCAAAGCTTCATTACAAACCTCCCAATAATTGAACAACTGCAATTCATTATGAGCATGCTGTAATCCAGGGCTTCATGAAGAAAGTATCTGAATGATAGGAAGCAGTTGAAACAAATCTTCTGAATTCCTTTACATTTCTAAAAGTAAACAGGAGACTCTCTGGATATGGTTAAGATACAGAAAATCAGATGGAGCCTAGGTCCTGAGTTCTTTAATATTCATTGCAATAAAAACTTTGGCACACTACCTAAACTTCTAAAATACAGAGAATTATGTTTTAAAACTGCAAGACCTTCCAAGAGGAAATATTGAAGTACAAATGTCTATCAAATACTGGTCAAATAATTTCACTCTAAATGATAATTCATGTTGATAGTTCCATATTAAAAATCATGTTACAAGCCTGTAACTTCCTCCCCTTGAAAACATATAATTAGTCATGCTACATTGGAATCAGCTTTAGAAAATGATCTCTTACCACCAGAATTATTTTCACAGTCCATTCTGAAAGAACAACCCAGTCTTTATCAAGCTAATTATCTTAAGTATACAGGGTAATTACTTCAAGATGCTCAAGGTGATATCTTTATACTTAATCATTCCAAAAAAAATAGACTGTAAATATTATTAGTATGTTTTTAGAACTCTATAACAGATTTTTTTCATAACAAATGACAAATATCAATCAGGTATCCAGAATAGCTATTCTAAAACCACTATTCACCTCTGTTCCATCCCACTTAGGGACAGTTAAGATTAATTAACAGTTAAGATTAATTTCTCTGAATAATTTCTTTGACCTATCTCTTGGATCTATTATTAGCATTTGACCCAATGGGCAGAGACCATCAAGAGTAAAAAATGTATAATACTGATGGTTCTGTATATGACCACTCTGGAGTATGAATCATATACAGTTAAAAGCTAGGATTTTTCTCATGCCACATTCAGTCTTCCAATTCAGTCTTTAAAGAGATTAAATATGTCTGTGTTCAAGAGCACTCTAAAAATCTATATGTAAAAGACATTTAGTAATGGCGTTGATTTACAAAAATAAAGCAATAGTAGAGTATCCTACTCTTTGAAAATGCATGATTTTATTTTCTCTTTGTAAGAGGCTTCTCAAATAAGTGGTGGTCTCTGTTGACAATAGTCATAACAGCTCAGTATTAACATTAAATATATTTAATTTGGCAAAATCATTTAGCCTTTAAAAGGAAAATTTTAAGTAGCCCAAATAAGCAAACCAACTCACGAAGCTACATGGGGGGTATAGTTTATAACTGAAGGCACATGAGGATGCAATGCCGCTTAAAATCAGACACTGACCAAGGGGCCTGAATTGTTATATACAGACAACGTGGTATATTAGTAACTTCTACCTTAAAGTTTTTCATTCCAAGGTCATTTGTTCTTCTTCCTAGAAGGCACAGGAGAGTTCATTGAAAATATGCTCACAGCTTGTAAAACAAAAAACATTGTCAACCATATATCTTATCATCTAAGCAAAAAAATTTATAAACATAATTTTATCAAATCCTAAGAAAACTTATTTCTTTGAACAAATTCCATGAGAAAAAAAAATGTGCCTTGCAGAAAGTGTGTAAAGCTTTTTATAAGAAACAGATAATTAATACTACTTAAGCCAATTGATAGTATTTAATTACTTACCTTTCTGCCTTAGTTCCAACAAAACTTCTAGAAACAAATTCACTGCCCCAAAATCATAATAATCTCAGTTGCTTCACAGCATAGAAACCTTGTATTCTTCCTTTATTATTTATCTTTAATTATCCAGCTTTATATTTCTTTAAATTTTTAAGACCAATTCAAAATAGGTAATGAATATTTCAAATAGATTCCTAAATCCTGCCAATCTTCTGATTGCTTCTTCTCACATATGCCTGTCTTCTTTGGGCATCAGAAGAATTCTAGAATCAGAATACTTATTTGTGATGTATTAGATAATTGGCTATTATTATCATCCTGCCTATGTCAGGGGGAGCTCTCTATTCCAAACAGTATAGGTACAGACTAAGCTCCTTCGTGAAGAACACCAAATCTGACAACAGAAAATAATAAGATGCCTCATAGGAGAAAGACTCTACTTTTAACATGTAAGATTTAAAAGAACTCCCACACAATAATAATGGGAGACTTTAACACCCCACTGTCAACATTAGACAGATCAATGAGACAGAAAGTTAACAAGGATACCCAGGAATTGAATTCAGCTCTGCACCAAGCGGACATAATAGACATCTACAGAACTCTCCACCCCAAATCAACAGAATATACATTTTTTTCAGCACCACACCACACCTATTCCAAAATTGACCACATACTTGGAAGTAAAGCTCTCCTCAGCAAATGTAAAAGATCAGAAATTATAACAAACTGTCTCTCAGACCACAGTGCAATCAAACTAGAACTCAGGATTAAGAAACTCACTCAAAACTGCTCAATTACATGGAAACTGAACAAACTGCTCCTGAATGACTACTGGGTACATAAAGAAATGAAGGCAGAAATAAAGATGTTCTTTGAAACCAGTGAGAACAAAGACACAACATACCAGAATCTCTGGGACACATTCAAAGCAGTGTGTAGAGGGAAATTTATAGCATTAAATGCCCACAAGAGAAAGCAGGAAAGATCCAAAACTGACACCCTAACATCACAATTAAAAGAACTACAAAAGCAAGAGCAAACACATTCAAAAGCTAGCAGAAGGCAAGAAATAACTAAAATCAGAGCAGAACTGAAGGAAATAGAGACACAAAAAACCCTTCAAAAAATTAATGAATCCAGGAACTGGTTTTTTGAAAGGATCAACAAAATTGATAGACTGCTAGCAAGACTAATAAAGAAAAAAAAAGAGAAGAATCAAATAGATGCAATAAAAAATGAGAAAGGGGATATCACCACCGATCCCACAGAAATACAAACTACCATCAGAGAATACTACAAACATCTCTACGCAAATAAACTAGAAAATCTAGAAGAAATGGATAAATTCCTCGACACATACACCCTCCCAAGACTAAACCAGGAAGAAGTTGAATCTCTGAATAGACCAATAACAGGAGCTGAAATTGTGGCAATAATCAATAGCTTACCAACCAAAAAGAGTCCAGGACCAGATGGATTCACAGCCGAATTCTACCAGAGGTACAAGGAGGAACTGGTACCATTCCTTCTGAAACTATTCCAATCAATAGAAAAAGAGGGAATCCTCCCTAACTCATTTTATGAGGCCAGCATCATCCTGATACCAAAGCCAGGCAGAGACACAACCAAAAAAGAGAATTTTAGACCAATATCCTTGATGAACATTGATGCAAAAATACTCAATAAAATACTGGCAAAACGAATCCAGCAGCACATCAAAAAGCTTATCCACCATGATCAACTGGGCTTCATCCCTGGGAAGCAAAGCTGGTTCAATATGCACAAATCAATGAATGTAATCCAGCATATAAACAGAACCAAACACAAAAACCACATGATTATCTCAATAGATGCAGAAAAGGCCTTTGACAAAATTCAACAACCCTTCATACTAAAAACTCTCAATAAATTAGGTATTGATGGGACGTATCTCAAAATAATAAGAGCAATCTATGACAAACCCACAGCCAATATCATACTGAATGGGCAAAAACTGGAAGCATTCCCTTTGAAAAGTGGCACAAGACAGGGATGCCCTCTCTCACCACTCCTATTCAACATAGTGTTGGAAGTTCTGGCCAGGCCAATTAGGCAGTAGAAGGAAATAAAGGGTATTCAGTTAGGAAAAGAGGAAGTCAAATTGTCCCTCTTTGCAGACGACATGATTGTATATCTAGAAAACCCTACTGTCTCAGCCCGAAATCTCCTTAAGCTGATAAGCAACTTCAGCAAAGTCTCAGGATACAAAATCAATGTACAAAAATCACAAGCATTCTTATACACCAACAACAGACAAACAGAGAGCCAAATCATGAGTGAACTCCCATTCACAATTGCTTCAAAGAGAATAAAATACCTAGGAATCCAACTTACAAGGGACGTGAAGGACCTCTTCAAGGAGAACTACAAACCACTGCTCAAGGAAATAAAAGAGGATACAAACAAATGGAAGAACATTCCATGCTCATGGGTAGGAAGAATCAATATCGTCAAAATGGCCATACTGCCCAAGGTAATTTATAGAGTCAATGCCATCCCCATCAAGCTACCAATGACTTTCTTCACAGAATTGGAAAAAACTACTTTAAAGTTCATATGGAACCAAAAAAGAGCCCGCACTGCCAAGTCAATCCTAAGCCAAAAGAACAAAGCTGGAGGCATCACGCTACCTGACTTCAAACTATACTACAAGGCTACAGTAACCAAAACAGCATGGTACTGGTACCAAAACAGAGATATAGACCAATGGAACAGAACAGAGCCCTCAGAAATAATGCCGCATATCTACAACTATCTGATCTTTGACAAACCTGAGAAAAATAAGCAATGGGGAAAGGATTCCCTATTTAATAAATGGTGCTGGGAAAACTGGCTAGCCATACGTAGAAAGCTGAAACTGAATCCCTTCCTTACACCTTATACAAAAATTAATTCAAGATGGATTAAAGACTTAAACGTTAGACCTAAAACCATAAAAACCCTAGAAGAAAACCTAGGCATTACCATTCAGGACATAGGCATGGGCAAGGACTTCATGTCTAAAACACCAAAGCAACGGCAACAAAAGTCAAAATTGACAAATGGGATCTAATTAAACTAAAGAGCTTCTGCACAACAAAAGAAACTACCATCAGAGTGAACAGGCAACCTACAGAATGGGAGAAAATTTTCGCAACCTACTCATCTGACAAAGGGCTAATATCCAGAATCTACAATGAACTCAAACAAATTTACAAGAAAAAAACAAACAATCCCATCAAAAAGTGGGCAAATGATATGAACAGACACTTCTCAAAAGAAGACATTTATGCAGCCAAAAGACACATGAAAAAATGCTCATCATCACTGGCCATCAGAGAAATGCAAATCAAAACCACAATGAGATACCATCTCACACCAGTTAGAATGGCGATCATTAAAAAGTCAGGAAACAACAGGTGCTGGAGAGGATATGGAGAAATAGGAACACTTTTACACTGTTGGTGGGACTGTAAACTAGTTCAACCATTGTGGAAGTCAGTGTGGCGATTCCTCAGGGATCTAGAACTGGAAATACCATTTGACCCAGCCATCCCATTACTGGGTATATAACCAAAGGACTATAAATCATGCTGCTATAAAGACACATGCACACATATGTTTATTGTGGCACTATTCACAATAGCAAAGACTTGGAACCAACCCAAATGTCCAACAATGATAGACTGGATTAAGAAAATGTGGCACATATACACCATGGAATACTATGCAGCCATAAAAAATGATGAGTTCATGTCCTTTGTAGGGACATGGATGAAATTGGAAATCATCATTCTCAGTAAACTATCGCAAGGACAAAAAACCAAACACCGCATGTTCTCACTCATAGATGGGAATTGAACAATGAGAACACATGGATACAGGATGGGGAACATCACACTCTGGGGACTGTTGTGGGGTGGTGGGAGTGGGGAGGGATAGCATTAGGAGATATACCTAATGCTAAATGATGAGTTAATGGGTGCAGCACACCAGCATGGCACATGTATACATATGTAACTAACCTGCACATTGTGCACATGTACCCTAAAACTTAAAGTATAATAATAATAAAAAAAAATATTGTGAAGATTGAGAAACCCTGACACAAGGACTAACACTACAAAGATCCTATTAATGTGCTATGCTTCATGTTGTAATAAGGAAGATGAAAGAACTAGGGCTAACAAATAACTTTTTCAATGGTCAATTTAACCCTATAATTTATTCTACATTTTGGCACTCCAAGTCCATACGTATTCATTAAGCTGTCATTCTAGTCACATACTTTCATTCAAGAATCTTCTTATGCCATTCCAGTCCAATGCTGGCAGATACCTCTGAATAATTAATATTAAGTACCATTTTTAATAAAAGCCCTCAGGGTCATATGTCTACTTTGAACAAAAGTTCAAAGAGAAACTAAATAAAATACATTTTGTCAGTCACTAATCCTTCAATGTCTTCTATTTAAACCATCTAACTTTTACTCCCCAAATGAAGTTGATTCTTCACTGGCAATTTTCCTGTTCCTGTTATAGTTCTGACAGTTCTCTGAAACTTCAACTTTGATCATGAAAAGAGATGCTCCAAAATGTAAATCAGGTATCCTCACTATACTAAAAACTATACAGTGTCAAAATAGAAATATCAGAAACCAAAGTTCTCTGATCAGACGCTTTCTATGAAATATGAAATAGCTAAACCAACTCTAAGCTGTGCCTCAAATTTATATGCTTCCAAGCTATTCAAATATAAAACAAGCACTAACAAATGCGCAACCTTGTCCATCGCAAGGCTAATAAATCAAAATCACCAAGGTAAGTTAACTGCATTTTCAGTGGGTGCAGATTTATCATCAGAGGCATGATAATCATGCAACCACTAGAAAAAGCAATGTGTTTTCCATGGCCTTGGTCATAATTCACCAACAACACTGACTTGTAACGTTTCACTATATCACTCTGGGCACACTCTAAAAAACGATTTCAGGACTTTGGGTCTTCTGAACACGCATGTGTTCATCTGGTGATTTTTTTGGCACTACAATTTAGTATGAAAACTATAAACACCTGATACCTAAAGAATAAGGCAGTGGATAAGAAAACTGAAGAAAAGCAGGACTTAAATGTCTTTAAAGGTTTCCGAAAATGAAAAGCTGACTGGAAACCTCAGTTATTCCAAATACAGAAGCCTCCACATTTTCACCCTTTCAGCAATGACTATAGCCCTTACATCTGACAATTTCTTTTAGTTGAATTCACTACAACAGGAATGTCATCAAGGTTGATATAAAGTCAGAGAAGGTTCACGCATTCTGTTCTGTAAGTAGTTTTATTTTGATTTCCACAAGTGGAGAAAGGCTTGACTGCCACAAATGTTTCCAAGAAGGACAAAGTGGTTAAAAGATACTGATATCTTTCCAGGTTTTCAGAGATTAATAGAAAGTATAGAAAATCACATAAGGAACACAAGATAAAGGAAATAAGTTGTTGCAAAGATGGACAAGATGTCAAGGTATACTTACCTAACTTGCACCTTTGCTCCCAAGTTTAGAATGTGAAAAAATTGAAATTGCATTTTTAAAATATTTAAATGGAGATTTTTTAAATCCTAGGACAAAAGGCCAAGTGTCCAGAGATAAAATCTTGAAAAGTTTGACTATTTGAAGAATTGCATAAAGCCAAAAGCCTGAATTGGAATCCTGATTGCGATCCTTCCTGGATGTGTAAATTTGGGCTAGCTATATAATCACTCAGAGCCTCTGGTGTTTGTTCTTATTGTTGTTTGTTTTATTTTTATTTTTTGGTTGTTTTGGTTTTGGTTTTTAGTTGTGAAGTAGAGATCATAATGTATATCAAGAGCATGAAACATATGCAAGAAAGTTCATGCCATTAATTATTAACTCTCTCTTGAAGTAGGTTATGGGTCTTTGTGAGAAGACAAAAAGCAGAGACAGAGAGTGAGCAAGAGCTCCACATTTATTGTGGACCATGAGTTCTGAAGACAGTCCAGAAAGTGACCATTGTCGAGCTTTTCTGACTGCTGGGTGGGAAATGAATCCATTGGAAAACTCAAGGTTCTAATAATAGTAGTAGCTAATATGCTAGACACAACAATCTAATTGAGGTGGTTCTATCATTATCTATTAGGATTCTTATTCTACTTCTGCATAAATCAAAGGTCAGATAAATTAAGGAGTTTTCTCAGGTTATAGGCATCAAATGGATGTGTAATAAAACCAAAAGCAAGCTCAAGAGCTGGCAGCAATGGTCATAGAGTGGGTTCTGTCCATAAGGGGTCCTAGATGAAATGAAACATTAGAATCATTCTCATGAGAGACTAAACTATCAAATATGCCTTTATTCTGTTTCAAACATACATATTAATGGGAGAGAATAAAAAATTCAGAATATTAAAAGATAATTTGAAATAAATAGGAAAGATTGAATTATAAAATAAATATAATTGGGACAATAACCCTCCATTTGGGAAAGAGGAAATCCTATCACACACCATAACACACAAAAAATAAACTACAGAGGAAGTAGCTTTTATTGTTATTGTTGTTGTCATTGTTAGAGACAGAGTCTTGCTCTGTTGCCCAGGCTCAAGTGCAGTGGCACAATCATGCTCACTGCAACTTTGAACTGCTGGGTTCAAGAAATCCTTCCACTTCATCCTCCTGAGTAGCTATGACTCAGGCTACTCAGGCACGCACTATCACATCTGGCTAATTTTTTAAATTTTTGTAGAGATAAGTCTCTCTTTGTTGACCAGGCTGCTCTCAAACTCCTGGGTTCAAGCAATCCTCCTACCTGGGATTCCCAAAGTGCTGGCATTATATGCATGAACCACCATACCTGTCCCCAAAATAAAATTTTATGTATAAAAATCCAATAGCGTATTTTAAAAATTAGAATATTTTTATCTTGAGGCTGTTCTTTCTAAGCATGACTAAAAAGCCAAAAATCATACAGGAAAATATTAAAAGTTTTGACATGTAAAATTATAACTTCTGTTCAAAAAATACACCATAAACAAAGTCAAAAGATATAAAAATTTTGAGCAAAACATTTGCAGCATATCTTTAATAAAGTACAAATTGTTGATTTAAAAAGATGAAGATTGTTTTTAAAAAATCAGAAGACATACAGACAATTCATAAAATAAATGAAAATGGACAGTAATTAAAAGATGATTGATCTCATTGATGAGCAAAAGATAACAATTAAAACAACAATCTGATACTTTTCACCTATCTGTCAAAAATTATTATGATTATTAATGCCCAGTGCTGGGGAAGTTGGGACTCATTTCATTGACAATGAGGGAATACACAGGTAGAAGTTCTCTGGAAAGGAATCTAGCAATCTACAACAATATCAAAATATATGTGCCTTCAAACTAGTAATTTTACTGCTAGGGATGTTTCTAAGGAACTAATCTAACAAGCATTCAATAAGTTGTGTAGAAAGGCATTTATGGAAAAATTAGTTAAAATGGTGACATCTTTCAAACAACATAAGTGTCCCTCAGTTTGTTGATCAAATTATGGTATTTCCATACTATGATATGTTATTCATTTGTTTAGAAAAGTAAAGTAGATTAATATTTAGAAAGCTGTTCTTGGCATAGTGTTGCTTGATTAAAGCAGGCTAGGGGATAATTATTTATAGCATAATACAATTTATGTAATCAAATACATATTTTTAAGTCTGGAAAGGTGTAACCAAAGAAAGAAAAGAAAATAGTTTGGAAAAATATTAACCAAGGTTAACATGGTTGTCTATGAATAGTTGAATCATAAATATTATTTTCTTCCTTTTGTTTCAATATTTCCTGATTTTTCTTTAATAAACATGTTTTGTCTTTGTAATAATTAAACTTCTTACAACCAAATAATTTATATTAAAATATTCATCTTTAATAGGCTCATAAACATTAATTAAAGAAAACCAATCTGTTTTTACAGAGAAATACTGTTTTTCTCTTTTTGCAGCTGCACTAAAATAGACTAGTCTTCCTAGTATTATTTTTTTCACATTTAAGATAATTGATTCATTGCTTCTAAAATCTAAAATCAAGGGGTATAGCTAATACTTGCTCTAACCCTTATAATTTTAGCCTTTCCAAAGTAAAATTGTAAATGTCTGCTGGTCAATTTGTTTTTAAACTAAAATGGGTGATGTAATATTAGTATCCAACACACACTGTTGATTGGCTGACTCATTTTCTAACAATGTGTAGAAAAATGCCATGGTGCCTACCAACACACTAAAATACGATGACAGATTAATTATTTAGAGGGTGAATCATAGTTACAGAAAAAAATAAACAACGGAAAATAAAGGATTCTGAAATTAATCACATCAAGGATTCTGTGTAAATGTGGAAGACAGGTTCTTCTATTCGTAGATGATAGTTGGCTACTTCTGGAATTAATTTTTAAAGTCTCCGATCATGTTCTGAAAGCATTCAGTCTCAAAACAAGTATGTTATTTCAGTCTCCACACTCATTGAGTCTTTCTCCAGAAAAGCTGCCAAACCCAGCACCAGCTGGCCTCTTGGGAACAAGACTAAGCTAACAGCAGATACTTCTTTTTGAACTGTTAATAGATATTAAAAGGATAGAGTTGAACTAATCTAAATCTATTAAGTTGGAAACAAAGGTTGCCTTCAAAGGCATTTGAATTCTATGGTCAAAATTTAAAACATTTCCATTTTCTTCCCTATAAGTGCTTATCTTTTTTTTATTTTTTTATTTTTTTAATTTATATTTTTATTTTTTTGAGACAAAGTCTCACTCTGTCACCAGGCCATAGTGCAGTTGCAGTGTGGTCTTGGCTCATTGCAACCTCCGCCTCCCGGGTTCAAGCGATTCTCCTGCCTCAGCCTCCCAAGAAGCTGGGACTACAGGCGGGCATCACCACGCCCAGCTAATTGGGCTTACCTCTTTTAAGTGCTCTGGTTTTTCTTAAATATTGGTTGTAAATAAGTGCCTATCAATTCTACTGCTCTCTTTTGCCTGGCTCTTTCCTGTGTTGTCAAAGTGGTCCTTGGAAGCATTAGTGAAAACTGAATAAAACTAGGCATAGCAGGGCGTGGTGGCGGGCGCGTGTAGTCCCAGCTACTCGGAGAGGCTGAGGCAGGAGAATGGCGTGAACCCGGGAGACGGAGCTTGCAGTGAGCCAAGATCGTGCCACTGCACTCCAGCCTGGGTGACAGAGCGAGACTCCGTCTCAAAAAAAAAAAAACTAGGCATAGCAGCATGTTACACAAGCCGCGTTTTCTTACCTCCCTTCCTGGACCCCATCCACAATATCAATGAAATTTACAGAGATTCAAGTTAATAGGGAGAAAAAAGTAAAAGGACATGATTGCTAGATTGCTAATGAGAGTATAAATTGGTCCAACTGCTCTGCAGGGCAATATAAAGCAACGCTTTTTAAAATCTTCATGCCCTTATACCCAGTAATTCCACATAACTATTTATAGACAAATAAGTCCAGCACAGCATTATTTGATTCACAATAGATTCATTCACTTGCCAGATTTTTTTTCTAACTTTAATCAGCTAGTACTCTAATACAGAATACACTCACACATCCAGAAACAACGTTAGAGCCGCAGTAGACATGAGCAATCTTTGTGCCCAGTTATTTCCAGTGATTTTCAAACAGGTTCCTAAGGATTACTTTTAAATTTTGGAGAGTATTTGATGGTCCTAGTGGGTGGGCCAGGGATGCCACATGCCTGCAATGCCTGAATTATTTCCATATAACAAAGAATTCCCCTGCCGAAAGTACCAGCAGTAGAACTGGTGCTTTACCCAGGTCCTCTCTTCAAGGCTGCCCATTCCCAGTTTCAGGGAATATTGCTCATTTCTGAATCATAGCTGTGTCTTTCATCAGGCATTGCTGCAGAGACCTGCCTTGCCCACGGTTATTATTCCCCCTCCCAGGTGGTACCCATGGGTGATGTCTGCTGATACAGGAAACAATGGCTGACTCCTTTGCTTCAACTTGGGACAATTCCACAGGGCCTTCCTATTCCTATAGCTCCTTGTATGATTGACTGAGTGCCTCAATTGGTATCCTATTGCAGGTTAGCTTCCCCCTCTGCCCAATCCTGCCTTCTCAACTTCATTATAAAAGTATCTCTTATGAACACACACCAGTAAAACTTCTGCATTCAACTCTCCCTCTCAGTTTGTTTCCATGGAACCCAATTTATGACAATCTTCACTGAGATACACTGCTTTAGTCCATCCCCTTACATTCTAGATGTGTCAAGAAGGCGCTAGAGAGAGTAAAGATCATGTCTAAAGTACAGAGGTAGCTAGTTAAGCACTCTTTGCACATACTACACATTAGAAACTGCGAGAAGTTTAATAGGGAAAGAACCAAGAAGGAAAGAAAAAAATGTTAAAATATGTATTGTAGGAAAGTATACTACCTAAGGAGAAGAAGAATGAGAATGACAAAAAGCATTAAGACATGACTGTATGGAGAAATGTTAAATAATGATAAAACTTGAGAAGCAATAGTACTAGTTCACTACAATAAGATAAATCAAAAGAAGACTGCCCAAATATCTCAGTTTGGGGAAGACTGTTTACTGGATTCTTTAACTACTATCAGTCTGCCTAAACTATTCATAATTAGTGTTCATCATGGTGATGAAGCCAAAAGATAATAGATATTTTCTTCTTAAAAGCAAACAGCTGGTAGGACATAGAGACCATCCACTCAAATGAGAGTGAATAAGCTCGAAAGTAAAATAAATCCCTTTCATCTACAACCATTATTCCTCTGTCCTCAGAAAAGGTAGCTAATTCTAAACACTCATTGTCCACTAAAGTCTTTCTTATCCTCAGTGTTCTCTTCCTAGTCATTTGTCAATCTTGGAAGACATGTCTCTTCTATGGCCCATTACTCCACTCTTATTTTAACACAGTTCTTCAATACAGTATGATGATATTTTTACCCTGCAACTTTTATACTTACAATACCTCTGTTCTGTATCAAGTGCAGAAATTTCCTCTATTTTCAAGAATAGTGTAGAAAGAACTGCAATACTGCTGAGAGTTCCAATTGTGACCTAACAAGCACCTCTCCAAAAAAGAAAAGAAAAATGCAGGTTTTGAAAATTTTTTTAATGTAACCTCACACTTAGAATGCAGAACTAGTTTGTAAAATTAGTAAGACTTTTTATTTTTACATAAAAAGAAAACTGACTTTACCACACTGGCTTTCTTAATTTTCTCAGAATCAAAACTAGTATTTTTAAAAACAGGAAATAAAGTACACTAAATGAATGGAATTATTACCAAAGCCAGTATAGCCAAGATAATCTCCCCCAAAACCTCATTTGAAAAGAATTTGATAACTTAATGTAAAAATTCAAAGAAATCCTTGGAGTTTAACTAAGCATCTCAAAACATTGTATCAAATACCTAACATTTATTTTTAAGTAATTTGAATAGTACTTTTACCTTGTACATGTCCAAAAACAATCCTGAAAAAAATATTATTCTAACTTACAATTCAAATGTCCTGCCTTTCAAAGTCTAAGAGATGACATGGATAAAATACTAGGTTCTTGTTTATTCATTCATGATATGAAAAGAATCTTGTCCAACAGCTTCAGGGAAAAGTACTAAGTAGAATTTACGTTAATAATTTTCTCATTGATTGTTATCTACGTGAACTACAGTAGGAGGGAGTCAAACTTTAGGATTTAACTCTTTAAAAGTTGAATAATGACAGGAGTTATCATTGCCAGATTCCACTCAGTTATGTAAACTCTATGATTTTACATCAAAGAGCACCATAGTACTATTTTAGTCATCCTCTGATTCATTGGCCTCGCTTTTTTCATATTACATAGAACAATCATATGTTTAATTAAATTTAGAAAAAGTAATAAGCATTCCACATTTTGGGGTGGCAATATGGACCTCCTCCTGTGTTAAACATGTCCCAGTTTATGGCTAAGTTGACAATTCAAAGGCTAAACTAGAAAAGTCAGGACAGCTTGACTTTGTTGGGTTCCCAATTGTACAGCTTGCAATCCTTCTATTTCACTGAGGTAGCGGGGCACCATAACAGGAACAGATTGTTCCATCAGCAGAACAAAAATTGAACCAGCAGCAGTCTTCTCTAAAACTGAGACTGTTTTCCAAATGTGCATGCTCTAGTTAGGGCTAAGGTTATTTATTCAAATGCTAATAGCAGTTAATGTAGTCATTAGCTTTCTAAGTGGAATTTAAAGACTATTTCTTTTCTCTCTTGCCTAGAAGATCTGGTCATATGCCTAGATATTTTCCTGGCTATTAGATTCTGAACCAAATACCCCTTTTGTATGAAATTGTGATTGATCCCTCTGTTTAATTTGGCATCATTCCACAAACATTCACACATTTAGAAAATAGTATTGCCTCAGTTTCTTTATAATTATGATTTAGTTCTGCTCTCCTAGGTCACTTTTAAGATCAAGGTAGCAAAAGACTAGAAACCCTTGGATAGTAGAAATAACTTTCTGGTAGATAGTCTTTATTAAATCTGTTCAATTTACATCCCTGGCTTTCCATTGTCTTTGTGATGAAATCAAAACTACTTAATTTGGCTTACAAGTCCTGTACCATCTGCCTTCTGTTTACTCTTTCAAGGCCCCATTTCCCCCCTTGAACTCTAGCCTCAGCTTCAGTAAAACTCCTCCCCATTCTGCAAGGTACCAAACTCTTTGTTGTACTGGAGCCTGCACACATCCCTCTCTCTGCCTGAACACTCTTGCTGGAAGTAGTATGATCCCTTTTGCCTGCCTACCTATTTCTCATTCTCATCTCATCTCTATCTCTCTCTCTCTGATTCTAATACACATACACACAGTATTCGTTAATGTCTGATAGAATTAGAGTTGCCATCAAAAGACATCTGTCTCAAAACATTTCTCTTACTAGGGCATTCTTGTGAAGATGCAAATATAAATTTTAAGAGAATTGGACACAGAATTATCTGCATGTAATGAACCTGGTGAAGGTAACAATACATTTTGTTTTGTGAATATGGCAGGCAGACAAAAGAGCCTCAGGGTGAGAAATGTCCAAGGAGAGTAGTAGGCATAGATGTAAACCTAGAAAGGGTGCCCACTTACAGGCCATGACCATCTCTATATCAGTGCCACCAAACAAGGAACCAGCAAGTTTCTTGTGTGAACTCTTTGTTTCAGGACAGTGGGAAGATAGAAGCTTACACTGGGAATCAACACTGCTTTCTTCATTGAGAAAGTCTTGCTACAAAAGGAATTAATAAATAATTAGCTGAATTTAAACATGGTGTTTAGTGACTTTTAGTGGCACTGCTCTATAGCACAATCTGAAGGCGCTAGAAAAAGAACTAAATAATAGGACCTTAAAAGCAAAAACAAGCTCACTAAATAAAAATTTTGTATCCGTCATTTCTATTTATATCGATAAATTATATCCATAACTCTATTCATTGTTTTCTCTTACCTCTGGCATACTAGATAGACCTACCTATGCTACTAACTGGGTAAATAAGGGAAAGCCTCTTAATTCAGGAAACAGGTAGGATATTAACATCACTTTACAATAAAGGGGTTGCACTGAATCAGTGGTTGAACTGAGGGTGATTTTGCCCCCCAGGAAGCATTTGGCAACATCTGGTGATCTTTTTCATTGTCACAACTACAAATAAATAAAAATATGCTATCAGCATCTAGTGAGTAGATACTAGGGATACTATTAAACATTCTGCAATGCACAGGACTGTCTCCTCCTGCCCCCACTACTTCCCAACAAAGAATTATCCATTTCAAATTATCATAGTGCTGAGGTTGAAAGATCCTTCATTAAATAACCTCTGAAGTCCCTTCCATCTTTAATATTCTCTGGTGCTTTATTCTGATGTTCACCAGAATTGTATTTATTTTAGTGATCTAATGAAAAGTGGTCAAAATGACTTCTTTAATGTGAATTTCTGCAGTGAAATATATGTAGGCTATGAAGAAAACAGGGTAATAAAATTTCAGTATAAATTCAAAAGTTGAAATGGTTACAATGCTCAGCAAACTTCCTTAGTGTAGGTGATGTAGTCTAATGGAATAAAAAAATTAACAAGAGGGAAAATGCCAGAAATTTCTGCCTAAAATAACTTCTTTTTCTCTATCAGCTATTTGTTTAATCCAGTTGTATAAAAAGCAGAAAAATATTCAAGAAACCTAGATTCAGTCAGCATCTCTGTCCTGCTTCATTGCAGAGCCTTAAGCAGGATTCTTCATATATTCTTGGCTTTAGTTTTTTATTTGTTTTCACTGGAAAACAGAGATATTACTTGAAGGGTACAACCAAGAATGTTTGACACAAAAATAAGATGGTTTATTGCATTCGTTGAGGCCTCTGGTTAAAATTTATACCGTTTTTAAAAAACACTATCATTAATTCTGTTTTACAATGTCACTCTATATGAGTACTTTACAAATTCTTAAATCCAAACAGAATGACTATTCCTTTTACATACATTTTATATTATATGACTACATTTCTTTACTAAAACACTCATTCAAAAGCAAATATATCCTCTTGCATATAAAAATTATATCTTGAAGATTTCTAATTCTCATTTGCTTAATGATATCATTGTGCCTGTAAAATTCACCAGAAGTTAAATTTGGGGCCCCTGTGCTTTGGTGAAAGAAAAGACCAAAGATTCTCACAGACAATGTCAGTCATACCCTGGAATTATACCCTTCTAGTCTATCTGTTTCAGCTTTCTCAGCTGGCACGTGCGTACTTGAAAAGAACAAAAAAAAACCTTCTCATATTCCCAGG